>NC_000011.10:52969018-53216710 GCF_000001405.40 Homo sapiens
TTTCGTTGGAAACGGGATAAACTTCCCAGAACTACACGGAAGCATGCTGAGAAACTTCTTTGTGATGTTTGCATTCAACTCACAGAGTTGAACCTTGCTTTCATAGTTCAGCTTTCAAACACTCTTTTTGTAGAATCTGCAAGTGGATATTTGGACCGCTTTGTGGCCTTCCTTCGAAACGGGTATATCTTCACATCAAACCTAGACAGAAGCATTCTCAGAATGTTTCCTGTGATGACTGCATTCAACTCACAGAGGTGAACAATCCTGTTGATGGAGCAGTTTTGAAACTCTCTTTCTTTGGATTCTGCAAGTTGATATGTGGACCTCTGTGAAGATTTCGTTGGAAACGGGTTCATCTTCACAGAAAAACTAAACAGAAGCATTCTCAGAAACTGCTTTGTGATGTTTCTGTTCCACTTCAAGAATTGAACTTTCCTCTTGACAGAGCAGCTCTGAAACCCTCTTTTTCTAGAATCTGCAAGTGGACATTTGGAGGGCTTTGAGGCCTGTGGTGGAAAAGGAAAATCTTCACATAAAAACTAGAGGGAAGCATTCTCAGAAACTACTTTGTGATGATTGCATTCGACCCACAGAGTTGAACATTCCTATAGATAGAGCAGGTTGTAAACAATCTTTTTGTAGAATCTTCGATTGGAGATTTGGACTGCTTTGAGGCCTACTGTAGTAAAGGAAATAACTTCATCTAAAAACCAAACGGAAGCATTCACAGACAATTCTTAGTGATCCTTGGATTGAACTAACAGAGCTGAACATTCCCTTAGATGGCGCAGTTTCCAAACACACTTTCTGTAGAATCTGCAAGTGGATATTTGGACCTCTCTGAGGATTTCGTTGGAAACGGGATAAACTTCCCAGAACTACACGGAAGCATTCTGAGAAACTTCTTTGTGATGTTTTCATTCAACTCACAGAGTTGAACCTTGCTTTCATAGTTCAGCTTTCAAACACTCTTTTTGTAGAATCTGCAAGTGGATATTTGGACCACTTTGTGGCCTTCCTTCGAAACGGGTATATCTTCACATCAAACCTAGACAGAAGCATTCTCAGAATGTTTCCTGTGATGACTGCATTCAACTCACAGAGGTGAACAATCCTGTTGATGGAGCAGTTTTGAAACTCTCTTTCTTTGGATTCTGCAAGTTGATATGTGGAACTCTGTGAAGATTTCGTTGGAAACGGGTTCATCTTCACAGAAAAACTAAACAGAAGCATTCTCAGAAACTGCTTTGTGATGTTTGTGTTCCACTTCAGGAATTGAACTTTCCTCTTGACAGAGCAGCTCTGAAACCCTCTTATTCTAGAATCTGCAAGTGGACATTTGGAGGGCTTTGAGGCCTGTGGTGGAAAAGGAAAATCTTCACATAAAAACTAGATGGAAGCATTCTCAGAAACTACTTTGTGATGATTGCATTCGACTCACAGAGTTGAACATTCCTATAGATAGAGCAGGTTGTAAACAATCTTTTTGTAGAATCTGCGATTGGAGATTTGGACTGCTTTGAGGCCTACTGTAGTAAAGGAAATAACTTCATCTAAAAACCAAACGGAAGCATTCACAGACAATTCTTAGTGATCATTGGATTGAACTAACAGAGCTGAACATTCCTTTAGATGGAGCAGTTTCCAAACCCACTTTCTGTAGAATCTGCAAGTGGATATTTGGACTTCTCTGAGGATTTCGTTGGAAACGGGATAAACTTCCCAGAACTACATGGAAGCATGCTGAGAAACTTCTTTGTGATGTTTGCATTCCACTCACAGAGTTGAACCTTGCTTTCATAGTTCAGCTTTCAAACACTCTTTTTGTAGAATCTGCAAGTGGATATTTGGACCACTTTGTGGCCTTCCTTCGAAACGGGTATATCTTCACATCAAACCTAGACAGAAGCATTCTCAGAATGTTTCCTGTGATGACTGCATTCAACTCACAGAGGTGAACAATCCTGTTGATGAAGCACTTTTGAAACTCTCTTTCTTTGGATTCTGCAAGTTGATATGTGGACCTCTGTGAAGATTTCGTTGGAAACGGGTTCATCTTCACAGAAAAACTAAACAGAAGCATTCTCAGAAACTGCTTTGTGATGTTTGTGTTCCACTTCAAGAATTGAACTTTCCTCTTGACAGAGCAGCTCTGAAACCCTCTTTTTCTAGAATCTGCAAGTGGACATTTGGAGGGCTTTGAGGCCTGTGGTGGAAAAGGAAAATCTTCACATAAAAACTAGATGGAAGCATTCTCAGAAACTACTTTGTGATGATTGCATTCGACTCACAGAGTTGAACATTCCTATAGGTAGAGCAGGTTGTAAACAATCTTTTTGTAGAATCTGCGATTGGAGATTTGGACTGCTTTGAGGCCTACTGCAGTAAAGGAAATAACTTCATCTAAAAACCAAACGGAAGCATTCACAGACAATTCTTAGTGATCATTGGATTGAACTAACAGAGCTGAACATTCCTTTAGATGGAGCTGATTCCAAACACACTTTCTGTAGAATCTGCAACTGGATATTTGGACCTCTCTGAGGATTTCGTTGGAAACGGGATAAACTTCCCAGAACTACACGGAAGCATTCTGAGAAACTTCTTTGTGATGTTTGCATTCAACTCACAGAGTTGAACCTTGCTTTCATAGTTCAGCTTTCAAACACTCTTTTTGTAGAATCTGCAAGTGGATATTTGGACCACTTTGTGGCCTTCCTTCGAAAAGGGTATATCTTCACATCAAACCTAGACAGAAGCATTCTCAGAATGTTTCCTGTGATGACTGCATTCAACTCACAGAGGTGAACAATCCTGCTGATGGAGCAGTTTTGAAACTCTCTTTCTTTGGATTCTGCAAGTGGATATGTGGACCTCTGTGTAGATTTCGTTGGAAACGGGTTCATCTTCACAGAAAAACTAAACAGGAGCATTCTCAGAAACTGCTTTGTGATGTTTGTGTTCCACTTCAAGAATTGAACTTTCCTCTTGACAGAGCAGCTCTGAAACCCTCTTTTTCTAGAATCTGCAAGTGGACATTTGGAGGGCTTTGAGGCCTGTGGTGGAAAAGGAAAATCTTCACATAAAAACTTTATGGAAGCATTCTCAGAAACTTCTTTGTGATGATTGCATTCGACTCACAGAGTTGAACATTCCTATAGATAGAGCAGGTTGTAAACAATCTTTTTGTAGAATCTGCGATTGGAGATTTGGACTGCTTTGAGGCCTACTGTAGTAAAGGAAATTACTTCATCTAAAAACCAAACGGAAGCATTCACAGACAATTCTTAGTGATCATTGGATTGAACTAACAGAGCTGAACATTCCTTTAGATGGCGCAGTTTCCAAACACACTTTATGTAGAATCTGCAAGTGGATATTTGGACCTCTCTGAGGATTTCGTTGGAAACGGGATAAACTTCCCAGAACTACACGGAAGCATTCTGAGAAACTTCTTTGTGATGTTTGCATTCAACTCACAGAGTTGAACCTTGCTTTCATAGTTCAGCTTTCAAACACTCTTTTTGTAGAATCTGCAAGTGGATATTTGGACCACTTTGTGGCCTTCCTTCGAAACGGGTATATCTTCACATCAAACCTAGACAGAAGCATTCTCAGAATGTTTCCTGTGATGACTGCATTCAACTCACAGAGGTGAACAATCCTGCTGATGGAGCAGTTTTGAAACTCTCTTTCTTTGGATTCTGCAAGTGGATATGTGGACCTCTGTGAAGATTTCGTTGGAAACGGGTTCATCTTCACAGAAAAACTAAACAGAAGCATTCTCAGAAACTACTTTGTGATGTTTGTGTTCCACTTCAAGAATTGAACTTTCCTCTTGACAGAGCAGCTCTGAAACCCTCTTTTTCTAGAATCTGCAAGTGGACATTTGGAGGGCTTTGAGGCCTGTGGTGGAAAAGGAAAATCTTCACATAAAAACTAGATGGAAGCATTCTCAGAAACTACTTTGTGATGATTGCATTCGACTCACAGAGTTGAACATTCCTATAGATAGAGCAGGTTGTAAACAACCTTTTTGTAGAATCTGCGATTGGAGATTTGGACTGCTTTGAGGCCTACTGTAGAAAAGGAAATAACTTCATCTAAAAACCAAACGGAAGCATTCACAGACAATTCTTAGTGATCATTGCATTGAACTAACAGAGCTGAACATTCCTTTAGATGGCGCAGTTTCCAAACACACTTTCTGTAGAATCTGCAAGTGGATATTTGGACCTCTCTGAGGATTTCGTTGGAAACGGGATAAACTTCCCAGAACTACACGGAAGCATTGTGAGAAACTTCTTTGTGATGTTTGCATTCAACTCACAGAGTTGAACCTTGCTTTCATAGTTCAGCTTTCAAACACTCTTTTTGTAGAATCTGCAAGTGGATATTTGGACCACTTTGTGGCCTTCCTTCGAAACGGGTATATCTTCACATCAAACCTGGACAGAAGCATTCTCAGAATGTTTCCTGTGATGACTGCATTCAACTCACAGAGGAGAACAATCCTGTTGATGGAGCAGTTTTGAAACTCTCTTTCTTTGGATTCTGCAAGTGGATATGTGGACCTCTGTGAAGATTTCGTTGGAAACGGGTTCATCTTCACAGAAAAACTAAACAGGAGCATTCTCAGAAACTGCTTTGTGATGTTTGTGTTCCACTTCAAGAATTGAACTTTCCTCTTGACAGAGCAGCTCTGAAACCCTCTTTTTCTAGAATCTGCAAGTGGACATTTGGAGGGCTTTGAGGCCTGTGGTGGAAAAGGAAAATCTTCACATAAAAACTAGATGGAAGCATTCTCAGAAACTACTTTGTGATGATTGCATTCGACTCACAGAGTTGAACATTCCTATAGATAGAGCAGGTTGTAAACAATCTTTTTGTAGAATCTGCGATTGGAGATTTGGACTGCTTTGAGGCCTACTGTAGTAAAGGAAATAACTTCATCTAAAAACCAAACGGAAGCATTCACAGACAATTCTTAGTGATCATTGGATTGAACTAACAGAGCTGAACATTCCTTTAGATGGCGCAGTTTCCAAACACACTTTCTGTAGAATCTGCCACTGGATATTTGGACCTCTCTGAGGATTTCGTTGGAAACGGGCTAAACTTGCCAGAACTACACGGAAGCATTCTGAGAAACTTCTTTGTGATGTTTACATTCAACTCACAGAGTTGAACCTTGCTTTCATAGTTCAGTTTTCAAACACTCTTTTTGTAGAATCTGCAAGTGGATATTTGGACCACTTTGTGGCCTTCCTTCGAAACGGGTATATCTTCACATCAAACCTAGACAGAAGCATTCTCAGAATGTTTTCTGTGATGACTGCATTCAACTCACAGAGGTGAACAATCCTGTTGATGGAGCAGTTTTGAAACTCTCTTTCTTTGTATTCTGCAAGTGGATATGTGGACCTCTGTGAACATTTCGTTGGAAACGGGTTCATCTTCACAGAAAAACTAAGCAGGAGCATTCTCAGAAACTGCTTTGTGATGTTTGTGTTCCACTTCAAGAATTGAGCTTTCCTCTTGACAGAGCAGCTCTGAAACCCTCTTTTTCTAGAATCTGCAAGTGGACCTTTGGAGGGCTTTGAGGCCTGTGGTGGAAAAGGAAAATCTTCACATAAAAACTAGATGGAAGCATTCTCAGAAACTACTTTGTGATGATTGCATTCGACTCACAGAGTTGAACATTCCTATAGATAGAGCAGGTTGTAAACAATCTTTTTGTAGAATCTGCGATTGGAGATTTGGACTGCTTTGAGGCCTACTGTAGTAAAGGAAATAACTTCATCTAAAAACCAAACGGAAGCATTCACAGACAATTCTTAGTGATCATTGGATTGAACTAACAGAGCTGAACATTCCTTTAGATGGAGCAGTTTCCAAACCCACTTTCTGTAGAATCTGCAAGTGGATATTTGGACTTCTCTGAGGATTTCGTTGGAAACGGGATAAACTTCCCAGAACTACACGGAAGCATTGTGAGAAACTTCTTTGTGATGTTTGCATTCAACTCACAGAGTTGAACCTTGTTTTCATAGTTCAGCTTTCAAACACTCTTTTTGTAGAATCTGCAAGTGGATATTTGGACCACTTTGTGGCCTTCCTTCGAAACGGGTATATCTTCACATCAAACCTAGACAGAAGCATTCTCAGAATGTTTCCTGTGATGACTGCATTCAACTCACAGAGATGAACAATCCTGTTGATGGAGCAGTTTTGAAACTCTCTTTCTTTGGATTCTGCAAGTTGATATGTGGACCTCTGTGAAGATTTCGTTGGAAACGGGTTCATCTTCACAGAAAAACTAAACAGAAACATTCTCAGAAACTGCTTTGTGATGTTTGTGTTCCACTTCAAGAATTGAACTTTCCTCTTGACAGAGCAGCTCTGAAACCCTCTTATTCTAGAATCTGCAAGTGGACATTTGGAGGGCTTTGAGGCCTGTGGTGGAAAAGGAAAATCTTCACATAAAAACTAGATGGAAGCATTCTCAGAAACTACTTTGTGATGATTGCATTCGACTCACAGAGTTGAACATTCCTATAGATAGAGCAGGTTGTAAACAATCTTTTTGTAGAATCTGCGATTGGAGATTTTGACTGCTTTGAGGCCTACTGTAGTAAAGGAAATAACTTCATCTAAAAACCAAACGGAAGCATTCACAGACAATTCTTAGTGATCATTGGATTGAACTAACAGAGCTGAACATTCCTTTAGATGGAGCAGTTTCCAAACCCACTTTCTGTAGAATCAGCAAGTGGATATTTGGACTTCTCTGAGGATTTCGTTGGAAACGGGATATGCTTCCCAGAACTACAGGGAAGCATTCTGAGAAACTTCTTTGTGATGTTTGCATTCAACTCACAGAGTTGAACCTTGCTTTCATAGTTCAGCTTTCAAACACTCTTTTTGTAGAATCTGCAAGTGGATATTTGGACCACTTTGTGGCCTTCCTTCGAAACGGGTATATCTTCACATCAAACCTAGACAGAAGCATTCTCAGAATGTTTCCTGTGATGACTGCATTCAACTCACAGAGGTGAACAATCCTGTTGATGGAGCAGTTTTGAAACTCTCTTTCTTTGGATTCTGCAAGTGGATATGTGGACCTCTGTGAAGATTTCGTTGGAAACGGGTTCATCTTCACAGAAAAACTAAACAGAAGCATTCTCAGAAACTGCTTTGTGATGTTTGTGTTCCACTTCAAGAATTGAACTTTCCTCTTGACAGAGCAGCTCTGAAACCCTCTTTTTCTAGAATCTGCAAGTGGACATTTGGAGGGCTTTGAGGCCTGTGGTGGAAAAGGAAAATCTTCACATAAAAACTAGATGGAAGCATTGCTCAGAAACTACTTTGTGATGATTGCATTCGACTCACAGAGTTGAACATTCCTATAGATAGAGCAGGTTGTAAACAATCTTTTTGTAGAATCTGCGATTGGAGATTTGGACTGCTTTGAGGCCTACTGTAGTAAAGGAAATAACTTCATCTAAAAACCAAACGGAAGCATTCACAGACAATTCTTAGTGATCATTGCATTGAACTAACAGAGCTGAACATTCCTTTAGATGGCGCAGTTTCCAAACACACTTTCTGTAGAATCTGCAAGTGGATATTTGGACCTCTCTGAGGATTTCGTTGGAAACGGGATAAAATTCCCAGAACTACACGGAAGTATTGTGAGAAACTTCTTTGTGATGTTTGCATTCAACTCACAGAGTTGAACCTTGCTTTCATAGGTCAGCTTTCAAACACTCTTTTTGTAGAATCTGCAAGTGGATATTTGGACCACTTTGTGGCCTTCCTTCGAAACGGGTATATCTTCACATCAAACCTAGACAGAAGCATTCTCAGAATGTTTCCTGTGATGACTGCATTCAACTCACAGAGGTGAACAATCATGTTGATGGAGCAGTTTTGAATCTCTCTTTCTTTGGATTCTGCAAGTGGATATGTGGACCTCTGGGAAGATTTCGTTGGAAACGGGTTCATCTTCACAGAAAAATTAACAGAGAGCATTCTCAGAAACTGCTTTGTGATGTTTGTGTTCCACTTCAAGAATTGAACTTTCTTCTTGACAGAGCAGCTCTGAAACCCTCTTTTTCTAGAATCTGCAAGTGGACATTTGGAGGGCTTTGAGGCCTGTGGTGGAAAAGGAAAATCTTCACATAAAAACTAGATGGAGCATTCTCAGAAACTACTTTGTGATGATTGCATTCGACTCACAGAGTTGAACATTCCTATAGATAGAGCAGGTTGTAAACAATCTTTTTGTAGAATCTGCGATTGGAGATTTGGACTGCTTGGAGGCCTACTGTAGTAAAGGAAATAACTTCATCTAAAAACCAAACGGAGCATTCACAGACAATTCTTAGTGATCATTGGATTGAACTAACAGAGCTGAACATTCCTTTAGATGGAGCAGTTTCCAAACACACTTTCTGTAGAATCTGCAAGTGGATATTTGGACCTCTCTGAGGATTTCGTTGGAAACGGGATAAACTTCCCAGAACTACACGGAAGTATTCTGAGAAACTTCTTTTTGATGTTTGCATTCAACTCACAGAGTTGAACCTTGCTTTCATAGTTCAGCTTTCAAACACTCTTTTTGTAGAATCTGCAAGTGGATATTTGGACCACTTTGTGGCCTTCCTTCCGAAACGGGTATATCTTCACATGAAACCTAGACAGAAGCATTCTCAGAATGTTTCCTGTGATGACTGCATTCAACTCACAGAGGTGAACAATCCTGCTGATGGAGCAGTTTTGAAACTCTCTTTCTTTGGATTCTGCAAGTGGATATGTGGAGCTCTGTGAAGATTTCGTTGGAAACGGGTTCATCTTCCCAGAAAAACTAAACAGGAGCATTCTCAGAAACTGCTTTGTGATGTTTGTGTTCCACTTCAAGAATTGAACTTTCCTCTTGACAGAGCAGCTCTGAAACCCTCTTTTTCTAGAATCTGCAAGTGGACATTTGGAGGGCTTTGAGGCCTGTGGTGGAAAAGGAAAATCTTCACATAAAAACTAGATGGAAGCATTCTCAGAAACTACTTTGTGATGATTGCATTCGACTCACAGAGTTGAACATTCCTATAGATAGAGCAGGTTGTAAACAATCTTTTTGTAGAATCTGCGATTGGAGATTTGGACTGCTTGGAGGCCTACTGTAGTAAAGGAAATAACTTCATCTAAAAACCAAACGGAAGCATTCACAGACAATTCTTAGTGATCATTGCATTGAACTAACAGAGCTGAACATTCCTTTAGATGGCGCAGTTTCCAAACACACTTTCTGTAGAATCTGCAAGTGGATATTTGGACTTCTCTGAGGATTTCGTTGGAAACGGGATAAACTTCCCAGAACTACACGGAAGCATTTTGAGAAACTTCTTTGTGATGTTTGCATTCAACTCACAGAGTTGAACCTTGCTTTCATAGTTCAGCTTTCAAACACTCTTTTTGTAGAATCTGCAAGTGGATATTTGGACCACTTTGTGGCCTTCCTTTGAAAAGGGTATATCTTCACATCAAACCTAGACAGAAGCATTCTCAGAATGTTTCCTGTGATGACTGCATTCAACTCACAGAGGTGAACAATCCTGCTGATGGAGCAGTTTTGAAACTCTCTTTCTTTGGATTCTGCAAGTGGATATGTGGACCTCTGTGAAGATTTCGTTGGAAACGGGTTCATCTTCACAGAAAAACTAAACAGAAGCATTCTCAGAAACTGCTTTGTGATGTTTGTGTTCCACTTCAGGAATTGAACTTTGCTCTTGAAAGAGCACCTCTGAAACCCTCTTTTTCTAGAATCTGCAAGTGGACATTTGGAGGGCTTTGAGGCCTGTGGTGGAAAAGGAAAATCTTCACATAAAAACTAGATGGAAGCATTCTCAGAAACTACTTTGTGATGATTGCATTCGACTCACAGAGTTGAACATTGCTATAGATAGAGCAGGTTGTAAACAATCTTTTTGTAGAATCTGCGATTGGAGATTTGGACTGCTTGGAGGCCTACTGTAGTAAAGGAAATAACTTCATCTAAAAACCAAACGGAAGCATTCACAGACAATTCTTAGTGATCATTGGATTGAACTAACAGAGCTGAACATTCCTTTAGATGGCGCAGTTTCCAAACACACTTTCTGTAGAATCTGCAAGTGGATATTTGGACTTCTCTGAGGATTTCGTTGGAAACGGGATAAACTTCCCAGAACTACACGGAAGCATTGTGAGAAACTTCTTTGTGATGTTTGCATTCAACTCACAGAGTTGAACCTTGCTTTCATAGTTCAGCTTTCAAACACTCTTTTTGTAGAATCTGCAAGTGGATATTTGGACCACTTTGTGGCCTTCCTTCGAAACGGTTATATCTTCACATCAAACCTAGACAGAAGCATTCTCAGAATGTTTCCTGTGATGACTGCATTCAACTCACACAGGTGAACAATCCTGCTGATGGAGCAGTTTTGAAACTCTCTTTCTTTGGATTCTCCTAGTGGATATGTGGATCTCTGTGAAGATTTCGTTGGAAACGGGTTCATCTTCACAGAAAAACTACACAGAAGCATTCTCAGAAACTGCTTTGTGATGTTTGTGTTCCACTTCAAGAATTGAACTTTCCTCTTGACAGAGCAGCTCTGAAACCCTCTTTTTCTAGAATCTGCAAGTGGACATTTGGAGGGCTTTGAGGCCTGTGGTGGAAAAGGAAAATCTTCCCATAAAAACTAGATGGAAGCATTCTCAGAAACTACTTTGTGATGATTGCATTCGACTCACAGAGTTGAACATTCCTATAGATAGAGCAGGTTGTAAACAATCTTTTTGTAGAATCTGCGATTGGAGATTTGGACTGCTTTGAGGCCTACTGTAGTAAAGGAAATAACTTCATCTAAAAACCAAACGGAAGCATTCACAGACAATTCTTAGTGATCATTGGATTGAACTAACAGAGCTGAACATTCCTTTAGATGGCGCAGATTCCAAACACACTTTCTGTAGAATCTGCAAGTGGATATTTGGACCTCTCTGAGGATTTCGTTGGAAACGGGATAAACTTCCCAGAACTACACGGAAGCATTCTGAGAAACTTCTTTGTGATGTTTGCATTCAACTCAGAGAGTTGAACCTTGCTTTCATAGTTCAGCTTTCAAACACTCTTTTTGTAGAATCTGCAAGTGGATATTTGGACCTTTGTGGCCTTCCTTCGAAACGGGTATATCTTCACATCAAACCTAGAAAGAAGCATTCTCAGAATGTTTCCTGTGATGACTGCATTCAACTCACAGAGGTGAACAATCCTGCTGATGGAGCAGTTTTGAAACTCTCTTTCTTTGGATTCTGCAAGTGGATATGTGGACCTCTGTGAAGATTTCGTTGGAAACGGGTTCATCTTCACAGAAAAACTAAACAGGAGCATTCTCAGAAACTGCTTTGTGAGGTTTGTGTTCCACTTCAACAATTGAACTTTCCTCTTGACAGAGCAGCTCTGAAACCCTCTTTTTCTAGAATCTGCAAGTGGACATTTGGAGGGCTTTGAGGCCTGTGGTGGAAAAGGAAAATCTTCACATAAAAACTAGATGGAAGCATTCTCAGAAACTACTTTGTGATGATTGCATTCGACTCACAGAGTTGAACATTCCTATAGATAGAGCAGGTTGTAAACAATCTTTTTGTAGAATCTGCGATTGGAGATTTGGACTGCTTTGAGGCCTACTGTAGTAAAGGAAATAACTTCATCTAAAAACCAAACGGAAGGATTCACAGACAATTCTTAGTGATCATTGCATTGAACTAACAGAGCTGAACATTCCTTTAGATGGCGCAGTTTCCAAACACACTTTCTGTAGAATCTGCAAGTGGATATTTGGACCTCTCTGAGGATTTCGTTGGAAACGGGATAAACTTCCCAGAACTACACGGAAGCATTCTGAGAAACTTCTTTGTGATGTTTGCATTCAACTCACAGAGTTGAACCTTGCTTTCATAGTTCAGCTTTCAAACACTCTTTTTGTAGAATCTGCAAGTGGATATTTGGACCACTTTGTGGCCTTCCTTCGAAACGGGTATATCTTCACATCAAACCTAGACAGAAGCATTCTCAGAATGTTTCCTGTGATGACTGCATTCAACTCACAGAGGTGAACAATCCTTCTGATGGAGCAGTTTTGAAACTCTCTTTCTTTGGATTCTGCATGTGGATATGTGGACCTCTGTGAAGATTTCGTTGGAAACGGGTTCATCTTCACAGAAAAACTAAACAGAAGCATTCTCAGAAACTGCTTTGTGATGTTTGTGTTCCACTTCAAGAATTGAATTTTCCTCTTGACAGAGCAGCTCTGAAACCCTCTTTTTCTAGAATCTGCAAGTGGACATTTGCAGGGCTTTGAGGCCTGTGGTGGAAAAGGAAAATCTTCACATAAGAACTAGATGGAAGCATTCTCAGTAAACTACTTTGTGATGATTGCATTCGACTCAAAGAGTTGAACATTCCTATAGATAGAGCAGGTTGTAAACAGTCTTTTTGTAGAATCTGCGATTGGAGATTTGGACTGCTTTGAGGCCTACTGTAGTAAAGGAAATAACTTCATCTAAAAACCAAACGGAAGCATTCACAGACAATTCTTAGTGATCATTGGATTGAACTAACAGAGCTGAACATTCCCTTAGATGGCGCAGTTTCCAAACACACTTTCTGTAGAATCTGCAAGTGGATATTTGGACCTCTCTGAGGATTTCGTTGGAAACGGGATAAACTTCCCAGAACTACACGGAAGCATTGTGAGAAACTTCTTTGTGATGTTTGCATTCAACTCACAGAGTTGAAACTTGTTTTCATAGTTCAGCTTTAAAACACTCTTTTTGTAGAATCTGCAAGTGGATATTTGGACCACTTTGTGGCCTTCCTTCGAAACGGGTATATCTTCACATCAAACCTAGACAGAAGCATTCTCAGAATGTTTCCTGTGATGACTGCATTCAACTCACAGAGGTGAACAATCCTGTTGATGGAGCAGTTTTGAAACTCTCTTACTTTGGATTCTGCAAGTGGATATGTGGACCTCTGTGAAGATTTCGTTGGAAACGGGTTCATCTTCACAGAAAAACTAAACAGAAGCATTCTCAGAAACTGCTTTGTGATGTTTGTGTTCCACTTCAAGCAATTGAACTTTCCTCTTGACAGAGCAGCTCTGAAACCCTCTTTTTCTAGAATCTGCAAGTGGACATTTGGAGGGCTTTGAGGCCTGTGGTGGAAAAGGAAAATCTTCCCATAAAAACTAGATGGAAGCATTCTCAGAAACTACTTTGTGATGATTGCATTCGACTCACAGAGTTGAACATTCCTATAGATAGAGCAGGTTGTAAACAATCTTTTTGTAGAATCTGCGATTGGAGATTTGGACTGCTTTGAGGCCTACTGTAGTAAAGGAAATAACTTCATCTAAAAACCAAACGGAAGCATTCACAGACAATTCTTAGTGATCATTGCATTGAACTAACAGAGCTGAACATTCCTTTAGATGGAGCAGTTTCCAAACACACTTTCTGTAGAATCTGCAAGTGGATATTTGGACCTCTGTGAGGATTTCGTTGGAAACGGGCTAAACTTCCCAGAACTACACGGAAGCATTCTGAGAAACTTCTTTGTGATGTTTGCATTCAACTCACAGAGTTGAACCTTGCTTTCATAGTTCAGCTTTCAAACACTCTTTTTGTAGAATCTGTAAGTGGATATTTGGACCACTTTGTGGCCTTCCTTCGAAACGGGTATATCTTCACATCAAACCTAGACAGAAGCATTCTCAGAATGTTTCCTGTGATGACTGCATTCAACTCACAGAGGTGAACAATCCTGTGGATGGAGCAGTTTTGAAACTCCCTTTCTTTGGATTCTGCAAGTGGATATGTGGACCTCTGTGAAGATTTCGTTGGAAACGGGTTCATCTTCACAGAAAAACTAAACAGGAGCATTCTCAGAAACTGCTTTGTGATGTTTGTGTTCCACTTCAGGAATTGAACTTTCCTCTTGACAGAACAGCTCTGAAACCCTCTTATTCTAGAATCTGCAAGTGGACATTTGGAGGGCTTTGAGGCCTGTGGTGGAAAAGGAAAATCTTCACATAAAAACTAGATGGAAGCATTCTCAGAAACTACTTTGTGATGATTGCATTCGACTCACAGAGTTGAACATTCCTATAGATAGAGCAGGTTGTAAACAATCTTTTTGTAGAATCTGCGATTGGAGATTTGGACTGCTTTGAGGCCTACTGTAGTAAAGGAAATAACTTCATCTAAAAACCAAACGGAAGCATTCACAGACAATTCTTAGTGATCATTGCATTGAACTAACAGAGCTGAACATTCCTTTAGATGGCGCAGTTTCCAAACACACTTTCTGTAGAATCTGCAAGTGGATATTTGGACCTCTCTGAGGATTTCGTTGGAAACGGGATAAACTTCCCAGAACTACACGGAAGCATTCTGAGAAACTTCTTTGTGATGTTTGCATTCAACTCACAGAGTTGAACCTTGCTTTCATAGTTCAGCTTTCAAACACTCTTTTTGTAGAATCTGCAAGTGGATATTTGGACCACTTTGTGGCCTTCCTTCGAAACGGGTATATCTTCACATCAAACCTAGACAGAAGCATTCTCAGAATGTTTCCTGTGATGACTGCATTCAACTCACAGAGGTGAACAATCCTGCTGATGGAGCAGTTTTGAAACTCTCTTTCTTTGGATTCTGCAAGTTGATATGTGTACCTCTGTGAAGATTTCGTTGGAAACGGGTTCATCTTCACAGCAAAACTAAACAGAAGCATTCTCAGAAACTACTTTGTGATGTTTGTGTTCCACTTCAAGAATTGAACTTTCCTCTTGACAGAGCAGCTCTGAAACCCTCTTTTTCTAGAATCTGCAAGTGGACATTTGGAGGGCTTTGAGGCCTGTGGTGGAAAAGGAAAATCTTCACATAAAAACTAGATGGAAGCATTCTCAGAAACTACTTTGTGATGATTGCATTCGACTCACAGAGTTGAACATTCCTATACATAGAGCAGGTTGTAAACAATCTTTTTGTAGAATCTGCGATTGGAGATTTGGACTGCTTTGAGGCCTACTGTAGTAAAGGAAATAACTTCATCTAAAAACCAAACGGAAACATTCACAGACAATTCTTAGTGATCATTGGATTGAACTAACAGAGCTGAACATTCCTTTAGATGGAGCAGTTTCCAAACACACTTTATGTAGAATCTGCAAGTGGATATTTGGACTTCTCTGAGGATTTCGTTGGAAACGGGATAAACTTCCCAGAACTACACGGAAGCATTCTGAGAAACTTCTTTGTGATGTTTGCATTCAACTCAGAGTTGAACCTTGCTTTCATAGTTCAGCTTTCAAACACTCTTTTTTTAGAATCTGCAAGTGGATATTTGGACCACTTTGTGGCCTTCCTTCGAAACGGGTATATCTTCACATCAAACCTAGACAGAAGCATTCTCAGAATGTTTCCTGTGATGACTGCATTCAACTCACAGAGGTGAACAATCCTGTTGATGGAGCACTTTTGAAACTCTCTTTCTTTGGATTCTGCAAGTTGATATGTGGACCTCTGTGAAGATTTCGTTGGAAACGGGTTCATCTTCACAGAAAAACTAAACAGAAGCATTCTCAGAAACTGCTTTGTGATGTTTGTGTTCCACTTCAGGAATTGAACTTTCCTCTTGACAGAGCAGCTCTGAAACCCTCTTATTCTAGAATCTGCAAGTGGACATTTGGAGGGCTTTGGGGCCTGTGGTGGAAAAGGAAAATCTTCACATAAAAACTAGATGGAAGCATTCTCAGAAACTACTATGTGATGATTGCATTCGACTCACAGAGTTGAACATTCCTATAGATAGAGCAGGTTGTAAACAATCTTTTTGTAGAATCTGCGATTGGAGATTTGGACTGCTTTGAGGCCTACTGTAGTAAAGGAAATAACTTCATCTAAAAACCAACCGGAAGCATTCACAGACAATTCTTAGTGATCATTGGATTGAACTAACAGAGCTGAACATTCCTTTAGATGGAGCAGTTTCCAAACACACTTTCTGTAGAATCTGCAAGTGGATATTTGGACCTCTCTGAGGATTTCGTTGGAAACGGGCTAAATTTCCCAGAACTACACGGAAGCATTCTGAGAAACATCTTTGTGATGTTTGCATTCAACTCACAGAGTTGAACCTTGCTTTCATAGTTCAGCTTTCAAACACTCTTTTTGTAGAATCTGCAAGTGGATATTTGGACCACTTTGTGGCCTTCCTTCGAAACGGGTATATCTTCACATCAAACCTAGACAGAAGCATTCTCAGAATGTTTCCTGTGATGACTGCATTCAACTCACAGAGGTGAACAATCCTGCTGATGGAGCAGTTTTGAAACTCTCTTTCTTTGGATTCTGCAAGTGGATATGTGGACCTCTGTGAAGATTTCGTTGGAAACGGGTTCATCTTCACAGAAAAACGAAACAGGAGCATTCTCAGAAACTGCTTTGTGATGTTTGTGTTCCACTTCAGGAACTGAACTTTCCTCTTGACAGAACAGCTCTGAAACCCTCTTTTTCTAGAATCTGCAAGTGGACATTTGGAGGGCTTTGAAGCCTGTGGTGGAAAAGGAAAATCTTCACATAAAAACTAGATGGAAGCATTCTCAGAAACTACTTTGTGATGATTGCATTCGACTCACAGAGTTGAACATTCCTATAGATAGAGCAGGTTGTAAACAATCTTTTTGTAGAATCTGCGATTGGAGATTTGGACTGCTTTGAGGCCTACTGTAGTAAAGGAAATAACTTCATCTAAAAACCAAACGGAAGCATTCACAGATAATTCTTAGTGATCATTGCATTGAACTAACAGAGCTGAACATTCCTTTAGATGGCGCAGTTTCCAAACACACTTTCCGTAGAATCTGCAAGTGGATATTTGGACCTCTCTGAGGATTTCGATGGAAACGGGATAAACTTCCCAGAACTACACGGAAGCATTCTGAGAAACTTCTTTGTGATGTTTGCATTCAACTCACAGAGTTGAACCTTGCTTTCATAGTTCAGCTTTCAAACACTCTTTTTGTAGAATCTGCAAGTGGATATTTGGACCACTTTGTGGCCTTCCTTCGAAACGGGTATATCTTCACATCAAACCTAGACAGAAGCATTCTCAGAATGTTTCCTGTGATGACTGCATTCAACTCACAGAGGTGAACAATCCTGCTGATGGAGCAGTTTTGAAACTCCCATTCTTTGGATTCTGCAAGTGGATATGTGGACCTCTGTGAAGATTTCGTTGGAAACGGGTTCATCTTCACAGAAAAACTAAACAGAAGCATTCTCAGAAACTGCTTTGTGATGTTTGTGTTCCACTTCAAGAATTAAACTTTCCTCTTGACAGAGCAGCTCTGAAACCCTCTTTTTCTAGAATCTGCAAGTGGACATTTGGAGGGCTTTGAGGCCTGTGGTGGAAAAGGAAAATCTTCACATACAAACTAGATGGAAGCATTCTCAGAAACTACTTTGTGATGATTGCATTCGACTCACAGAGTTGAACATTCCTATAGATAGAGCAGGTTGTAAGCAATCTTTTTGTAGAATCTGCGATTGGAGATTTGGACTGCTTTGAGGCCTACTGTAGTAAAGGAAATAACTTCATCTAAAATCCAAACGGAAGCATTCACAGACAATTCTTAGTGATCATTGCATTGAACTAACAGAGCTGAACATTCCTTTAGATGGCGCAGTTTCCAAACACACTTTCTGTAGAATCTGCAAGTGGATATTTGGACCTCTCTGAGGATTTCGTTGGAAACGGGATAAACTTCCCAGAACTACACGGAAGCATTGTGAGAAACTTCTTTGTGATGTTTGCATTCAACTCACAGAGTTGAAACTTGCTTTCATAGTTCAGCTTTCAAACACTCTTTTTGTAGAATCTGCAAGTGGATATTTGGACCACTTTGTGGCCTTCCTTCGAAACGGGTATATCTTCACATCAAACCTAGACAGAAGCATTCTCAGAATGTTTCCTGTGATGACTGCATTCAACTCACAGAGGTGAACAATCCTGCTGATGGAGCAGTTTTGAAACTCTCTTTCTTTGGATTCTGCAAGTGGATATGTGGACCTCTGTGAAGATTTCGTTGGAAACGGGTTCATCTTCACAGAAAAACTAAACAGGAGCATTCTCAGAAACTGCTTTGTGATGTTTGTGTTCCACTTCAGGAATTGAGCTTTCCTCTTGACAGAGCAGCTCTGAAATCCTCTTATTCTAGAATCTGCAAGTGGACATTTGGAGGGCTTTGAGGCCTGTGGTGGAAAAGGAAAATCTTCACATAAAAACTAGATGGAAGCATTCTCAGAAACTACTTTGTGATGATTGCATTCGACTCACAGAGTTGAACATTCCTATAGATAGAGCAGGTTGTAAACAATCTTTTTGTAGAATCTGCGATTCGAGATTTGGAATGCTTTGAGGCCTACTGCAGTAAAGGAAATAACTTCATCTAAAAACCAAACGGAAGCATTCACAGACAATTCTTAGTGATCATTGGATTGAACTAACAGAGCTGAACATTCCTTTAGATGGAGCAGTTTCCAAACACACTTTCTGTAGAATCTGCAAGTGGATATTTGGACTTCTCTGAGGATTTCGTTGGAAACGGGATAAACTTCCCAGAACTACACGGAAGCATGCTGAGAAACTTCTTTGTGATGTTTGCATTCAACTCACAGAGTTGAACCTTGCTTTCATAGTTCAGCTTTCAAACACTCTTTTTGTAGAATCTGCAAGTGGATATTTGGACCACTTTGTGGCCTTCCTTCGAAACGGGTATATCTTCACATCAAACCTAGACAGAAGCATTCTCAGAATGTTTCCTGTGATGACTGCATTCAACTCACAGAGGTGAACAATCCTGCTGATGGAGCAGTTTTGAAACTCTCTTTCTTTGGATTCTGCAAGTGGATATGTGGACCTCTGTGAAGATTTCGTTGGAAACGGGTTCATCTTCACAGAAAAACAAAACAGAAGCATTCTCAGAAACTGCATTGTGATGTTTGTGTTCCACTTCAAGAATTGAACTTTCCTCTTGACAGAGCAGCTCTGAAACCCTCTTTTTCTAGAATCTGCAAGTGGACATTTGGAGGGCTTTGAGGTCTGTGGTGGAAAAGGAAAATCTTCACGTAAAAACTTTATGGAAGCATTCTCAGAAACTACTTTGTGATGATTGCATTCGACTCACAGAGTTGAACATTCCTATAGATAGAGCAGGTTGTAAACAATCTTTTTGTAGAATCTGCGATTGGAGATTTGGACTGCTTTGAGGCCTACTGTAGTAAAGGAAATAACTTCATCTAAAAACCAAACGGAAGCATTCACAGACAATCCTTAGTGATCATTGCATTGAACTAACAGAGCTGAACATTCCTTTAGATGGCGCAGTTTCCAAACACACTTTCTGTAGAATCTGCAAGTGGATATTTGGACCTCTCTGAGGATTTCGTTGGAAACGGGATAAACTTCCCAGAACTACACGGAAGCATTGTGAGAAACTTCTTTGTGATGTTTGCATTCAACTCACAGAGTTGAACCTTGCTTTCATAGTTCAGCTTTCAAACACTCTTTTTGTAGAATCTGCAAGTGGATATTTGGACCACTTTGTGGCCTTCCTTCGAAACGGGTATATCTTCACATCAAACCTAGACAGAAGCATTCTCAGAATGTTTCCTGTGATGACTGCATTCAACTCACAGAGGTGAACAATCATGCTGATGGAGCAGTTTTGAAACTCTCTTTCTTTGGATTCTGCAAGTGGATATGTGGACCTCTGTGAAGATTTCGTTGGAAACGGGTTCATCTTCACAGAAAAACTAAACAGGAGCATTCTCAGAAACTGCTTTGTGATGTTTGTGTTCCACTTCAGGAATTGAACTTTCCTCTTGACAGACCAGCTCTGAAACCCTCTTTTTCTAGAATCTGCAAGTGGACATTTGGAGGGCTTTGAGGCCTGTGGTGGAAAAGGAAAATCTTCACATAAAAACTAGATGGAAGCATTCTCAGAAACTACTTTGTGATGATTGCATTCGACTCACAGAGTTGAACATTCCTATAGATAGAGCAGGTTGTAAACAATCTTTTTGTAGAATCTGCGATTGGAGATTTGGACTGCTTTGAGGCCTACTGTAGTAAAGGAAATAACTTCATCTAAAAACCAAACGGAAGCGTTCACAGACAATTCTTAGTGATCATTGCATTGAACTAACAGAGCTGAACATTCCTTTAGATGGCGCAGTTTCCAAACACACTTTCTGTAGAATCTGCAAGTGGATATTTGGACCTCTCTGAGGATTTCATTGGAAACGGGATAAACTTCCCAGAAGTACACGGAAGCATTCTGAGAAACTTCTTTGTGATGTTTGCATTCAACTCATAGAGTTGAACCTTGCTTTCATAGTTCAGCTTTCAAACACTCTTTTTGTAGAATCTGCAAGTGGATATTTGGACCACTTTGTGGCCTTCCTTCGAAACGGGTATATCTTCACATCAAACCTAGACAGAAGCATTCTCAGAATGTTTCCTGTGATGACTGCATTCAACTCACAGAGGTGAACAATCCTGCTGATGGAGCAGTTTTGAAACTCTCTTTCTTTGGATTCTGCAAGTGGATATGTGGACCTCTGTGAAGATTTCATTGGAAACGGGTTTATCTTCACAGAAAAACTAAACAGAAGCATTCTCAGTAAACTGCTTTGTGATGTTTGTGTTCCACTTCAGGAATTGAACTTTCCTCTTGACAGAGCAGCTCTGAAACCCTCTTATTCTAGAATCTGCAAGTGGACATTTGGAGGGCTTTGAGGCCTGTGGTGGAAAAGGAAAATCTTCACATAATAACTAGATGGAAGCATTCTCAGAAACTACTTTGTGATGATTGCATTCGACTCACAGAGTTGAACATTCCTATAGATAGAGCAGGTTGTAAACAATCTTTTTGTAGAATCTGCGATTGGAGATTTGGACTGCTTTGAGGCCTACTGTAGTAAAGGAAATAACTTAATCTAAAAACCAAACGGAAGCATTCACAGACAATTCTTAGTGATCATTGGATTGAACTAACAGAGCTGAACATTCCTTTAGATGGAGCATTTTCCAAACGCACTTTCTGTAGAATCTGCAAGTGGATATTTGGACTTCTCTGAGGATTTCGTTGGAAACGGGATAAACTTCCCAGAACTACACGGAAGCATTCTGAGAAACTTCTTTGTGATGTTTGCATTCAACTCACAGAGTTGAACCTTGCTTTCATAGTTCAGCTTTCAAACACTCTTTTTGTAGAATCTGCAAGTGGATATTTGGACCACTTTGTGGCCTTCCTTCGAAACGGGTATATCTTCACATCAAACCTAGACAGAAGCATTCTCAGAATGTTTCCTGTGATGACTGCATTCAACTCACAGAGGTGAACAATCCTGCTGATGGAGCTGTTTTGAAACTCTCTTTCTTTGGATTCTGCAAGTGGATATGTGGACCTCTGTGAAGATTTCGTTGGAAACGGGTGCATCTTCACAGAAAAACTAAACAGAAGCATTCTCAGAAACTGCTTTGTGATGTTTGTGTTCCACTTCAGGAATTGAACTTTCCTCTTGACAGAGCAGCTCTGAAACCCTCTTATTCTAGAATCTGCAAGTGGACATTTGGAGGGCTTTGAGGCCTGTGGTGGAAAAGGAAAATCTTCACATAAAAACTAGATGGAAGCATTCTCAGAAACTACTTTGTGATGATTGCATTCGACTCACAGAGTTGAACATTCCTATAGATAGAGTAGGTTGTAAACAATCTTTTTGTAGAATCTGCGATTGGAGATTTGGACTGCTTTGAGGCCTACTGTAGTAAAGGAAATAACTTCATCTAAAAACCATACGGAAGCATTCACAGACAATTCTTAGTGATCATTGCATTGAACTAACAGAGCTGAACATTCCTTTAGATGGCGCAGTTTCCAAACCCACTTTCTGTAGAATCTGCAAGTGGATATTTGGACGTCTCTGAGGATTTCGTTGGAAACGGGATAAACTTCCCAGAACTACACGGAAGCATTCTGAGAAACTTCTTTGTGATGTTTGCATTCAACTCACAGAGTTGAACCTTGCTTTCATAGTTCAGCTTTCAAACACTCTTTTTGTAGAATCTGCAAGTGGATATTTGGACCACTTTGTGGCCTTCCTTCGAAACGGGTATATCTTCACATCAAACCTAGACAGAAGCATTCTCAGAATGTTTCATGTGATGACTGCATTCAACTCACAGAGGTGAACAATCCTGTTGATGGAGCAGTTTTGAATCTCTCTTTCTTTGGATTCTGCAAGTGGATATGTGGACCTCTGTGAAGATTTCGTTGGAAACGGGTTCATTTTCACAGAAAAACTAAACAGAAGCATTCTCAGAAACTGCTTTGTGATGTTTGTGTTCCACTTCAAGAATTGAACTTTCCTCTTGACAGAGCAGCTCTGAAACCCTCTTTTTCTAGAATCTGCAAGTGGACATTTGGAGGGCTTTGAGGCCTGTGGTGGAAAAGGAAAATCTTCACATAAAAACTAGATGAAAGCATTCTCAGAAACTACTTTGTGATGATTGCATTCGACTCACAGAGTTGAACATTCCTATAGATAGAGCAGGTTGTAAACAATCTTTTTGCAGAATCTTTGATTGGAGATTTGGACTGCTTTGAGGCCTACTGTAGTAAAGGAAATAACTTCATCTAAAAACCAAACGGAAGCATTCACAGACAATTCTTAGTGATCATTGCATTGAACTAACAGAGCTGAACATTCCTTTAGATGGCGCAGTTTCCAAACACACTTTCTGTAGAATCTGCAAGTGGATATTTGGACTTCTCTGAGGATTTCGTTGGAAACGGGATAAACTTCCCAGAACTACACGGAAGCATTCTGAGAAACTTCTTTGTGATGTTTGCATTCAACTCACAGAGTTGAACCTTGCTTTCATAGTTCAGCTTTCAAACACTCTTTTTGTAGAATCTGCAAGTGGATATTTGGACCACTTTGTGGCCTTCCTTCGAAACGGGTATATCTTCACATCAAACCTAGACAGAAGCATTCTCAGAATGTTTCCTGTGATGACTGCATTCAACTCACAGAGGTGAACAATCCTGCTGATGGAGCAGTTTTTAAACTCTCTTTCTTTGGATTCTGCAAGTGGATATGTGGACCTCTGTGAAGATTTCATTGGAAACGGGTTCATCTTCACAGAAAAACTAAACAGGAGCATTCTCAGAAACTACTTTGTGATGTTTGTGTTCCACTTCAAGAATTGAACTTTCCTCTTGACAGAGCAGCTCTGAAACCCTCTTTTTCTAGAATCTGCAAGTGGACATTTGGAGGGCTTTGAGGCCTGTGGTGGAAAAGGAAAATCTTCACATAAAAACTAGATGGAAGCATTCTCAGAAACTACTTTGTGATGATTGCATTCGACTCACAGAGTTGAACATTCCTATAGATAGAGCAGGTTGTAAACAATCTTTTTGTAGAATCTGCGATTGGAGATTTGGACTGCTTTGAGGCCTACTGTAGTAAAGGAAATAACTTCATCTAAAAACCAAACGGAAGCATTCACAGACAATTCTTAGTGATCATTGGATTGAAATAACAGAGCTGAACATTCCTTTAGATGGAGCAGTTTCCAAACCCACTTTCTGTAGAATCTGCAAGTGGATATTTGGACTTCTCTGAGGATTTCTTTGGAAACGGGATAAACTTCCCAGAACTACACGGAAGCATTGTGAGAAACTTCTTTGTGATGTTTGCATTCAACTCACAGAGTTGAACCTTGCTTTCATAGTTCAGCTTTCAAACACTCTTTTTGTAGAATCTGCAAGTGGATATTTGGACCACTTTGTGGCCTTCCTTCGAAACGGGTATATCTTCACATCAAACCTAGACAGAAGCATTCTCAGAATGTTTCCTGTGATGACTGCATTCAACTCACAGAGGTGAACAATCCTGCTGATGGAGCAGTTTTGAAACTCTCTTTCTTTGGATTCTGCAAGTGGATATGTGGACCTCTGTGAAGATTTCGTTGGAAACTGGTTCATCTTCACAGAAAAACTAAACAGAAGCATTCTCAGAAACTGCTTTGTGATGTTTGTGTTCCACTTCAAGAATTGAACTTTCCTCTTGACAGAGCAGCTCTGAAACCCTCTTTTTCTAGAATCTGCAAGTGGACATTTGGAGGGCTTTGAGGCCTGTGGTGGAAAAGGAAAATCTTCACATAAAAACTAGATGGAAGCATTCTCAGAAACTACTTTGTGATGATTGCATTCGACTCACAGAGTTGAACATTCCTATAGATAGAGCAGGTTGTAAACAATCTTTTTGTAGAATCTGCGATTGGAGATTTGGACTGCTTTGAGGCCTACTGTAGTAAAGGAAATAACTTCATCTAAAAACCAAACGGAAGCATTCACAGACAATTCTTAGTGATCATTGGATTGAACTAACAGAGCTGAACATTCCTTTAGATGGCGCAGTTTCCAAACACACTTTCTGTAGAATCTGCAAGTGGATATTTGGACTTCTCTGAGGATTTCGTTGGAAACGGGATAAACTTCCCAGAACTACAGGGAAGCATTGTGAGAAACTTCTTTGTGATGTTTGCATTCAACTCACAGAGTTGAACCTTGCTTTCATAGTTCAGCTTTCAAACACTCTTTTTGTAGAATCTGCAAGTGGATATTTGGACCACTTTGTGGCCTTCCTTCGAAACGGGTATATCTTCACATCAAACCTAGACAGAAGCATTCTCAGAATGTTTCCTGTGATGACTGCATTCAACTCACAGAGGTGAACAATCCTGCTGATGGAGCAGTTTTGAAACTCTCTTTCTTTGGATTCTGCAAGTGGATATGTGGACCTCTGTGAAGATTTCGTTGGAAACGGGTTCATCTTCACAGAAAAACTAAACAGGAGCATTCTCAGAAACTGCTTTGTGATGTTTGTGTTCCACTTCAGGAATTGAACTTTCCTCTTGACAGAGCAGCTCTGAAACCCTCTTATTCTAGAATCTGCAAGTGGACATTTGGAGGGCTTTGAGGCCTGTGGTGGAAAAGGAAAATCTTCACATAAAAACTAGATGGAAGCATTCTCAGAAACTACTTTGTGATGATTGCATTCGACTCACAGAGTTGAACATTTCTATAGATAGAGCAGGTTGTAAACAATCTTTTTGTAGAATCTGCGATTGGAGATTTGGACTGCTTTGAGGCCTACTGTAGTAAAGGAAATAACTTCATCTAAAAACCAAACGGAAGCATTCACAGACAATTCTTAGTGATCATTGGATTGAACTAACAGAGCTGAACATTCCCTTAGATGGCGCAGTTTCCAAACACACTTTCTGTAGAATCAGCAAGTGGATATTTGGACCTCTCTGAGGATTTCGTTGGAAACGGGATAAACTTCCCAGAACTACACGGAAGCATTCTGAGAAACTTCTTTGTGATGTTTGCATTCAACTCACAGAGTTGAACCTTGCTTTCATAGTTCAGCTTTCAAACACTCTTTTTGTAGAATCTGCAAGTAGATATTTGGACCACTTTGTGGCCTTCCTTCGAAACGGGTATATCTTCACATCAAACCTAGACAGAAGCATTCTCAGAATGTTTCCTGTGATGACTGCATTCAACTCACAGAGGTGAACAATCCTGTTGATGGAGCAGTTTTGAAACTCTCTTTCTTTGGATTCTGCAAGTGGATATGTGGACCTCTGTGAAGATTTCGTTGGAAACGGGTTCATCTTCACAGAAAAACTAAACAGGAGCATTCTCAGAAACTGCTTTGCGATGTTTGTGTTCCACTTCAAGAATTGAACTTTCCTCTTGACAGAGCAGCTCTGAAACCCTCTTTTTCTAGAATCTGCAAGTGGACATTTGGAGGGATTTGAGGCCTGTGGTGGAAAAGGAAAATCTTCACATAAAAACTAGATGGAAGCATTCTCAGAAACTACTTTGTGATGATTGCATTCGACTCACAGAGTTGAACATTCCTATAGATAGAGCAGGTTGTAAACAATCTTTTTGTAGAATCTGCGATTGGAGATTTGGACTGCTTTGAGGCCTACTGTAGTAAAGGAAATAACTTCATCTAAAAACCAAACGGAAGCATTCACAGACAATTCTTAGTGATCATTCGATTGAACTAAGAGAGCTGAACATTCCTTTAGATGGAGCAGTTTCCAAACACACTTTCTGTAGAATCTGCAAGTGGATATTTGGACTTCTCTGAGGATTTCGTTGGAAACGGGATAAACTTCCCAGAACTACACGGAAGCATTGTGAGAAACTTCTTTGTGATGTTTGCATTCAACTCACAGAGTTGAACCTTGCTTTCATAGTTCAGCTTTCAAACACTCTTTTTGTAGAATCTGCAAGTGGATATTTGGACCACTTTGTGGCCTTCCTTCGAAACGGGTATATCTTCACATCAAACCTAGACAGAAGCATTCTCAGAATGTTTCCTGTGATGACTGCATTCAACTCACAGAGGTGAACAATCCTGCTGATGGAGCAGTTTTGAAACTCTCTTTCTTTGGATTCTGCAAGTGGATATGTGGACCTCTCTGAAGATTTCGTTGAAAACTGTTTCTTCTTCACAGAAAAACTAAACAGAAACATTCTCAGAAACTGCTTTGTGATGTTTGTGTTCCACTTCAGGAATTGAACTTTCCTCTTGACAGAGCAGCTCTGAAACCCTCTTTTTCTAGAATCTGCAAGTGGACATTTGGAGGGCTTGGAGGCCTGTGGTGGAAAAGGAAAATCTTCACATAAAAACTAGATGGAAGCATTCTCAGAAACTACTTTGTGATGATGGCTTTCGACTCACAGAGTTGAACATTCCTATAGATAGAGCAGGTTGTAAACAATCTTTTTGTAGAATCTGCGATTGGAGATTTGGACTGCTTTGAGGCCTACTGTAGTAAAGGAAATAACTTCATCTAAAAACCAAACGGAAGCATTCACAGACAATTCTTAGTGATCATTGGATTGAACTAACAGAGCTGAACATTCCTTTAGATGGAGCAGTTTCCAAACACACTTTCTGTAGAATCTGCAAGTGGATATTTGGACTTCTCTGAGGATTTCGTTGGAAACGGGATAAACTTCCCAGAACTACACGGAAGCATTGTGAGAAACTTCTCTGTGATGTTAGCATTCAACTCACAGAGTTGAACCTTGCTTTCATAGTTCAGCTTTCAAACACTCTTTTTGTGGAATCTGCAAGTGGATATTTGGACCACTTTGTGGCCTTCCTTCGAAACGGGTATATCTTCACATCAAACCTAGACAGAAGCATTCTCAGAATGTTTCCTGTGATGACTGCATTCAACTCACAGAGGTGAACAATCCTGTTGATGGAGCAGTTTTGAAACTCTCTTTCTTTGGATTCTGCAAGTGGATATGTGGACCTCTGTGAAGATTTGGTTGGAAACGGGTTCATCTTCACAGAAAAATTAACAGAAGCATTCTCAGAAACTACTTTGTGATGTTTGTGTTCCACTTCAAGAATTGAACTTTCCTCTTGACAGAGCAGCTCTGAAACCCTCTTTTTCTAGAATCTGCAAGTGGACATTTGGAGGGCTTTGAGGCCTGTGGTGGAAAAGGAAAATCTTCACATAAAAACTAGATGGAAAGCATTCTCAGGAAACTACTTTGTGATGATTGCATTCGACTCACAGAGTTGAACATTCCTATAGATAGAGCAGGTTGTAAACAATCTTTTTGTAGAATCTGCGATTGGAGATTTGGACTGCTTTGAGGCCTACTGTAGTAAAGGAAATAACTTCATCTAAAAACCAAACGGAAGCATTCACAGACAATTCTTAGTGATCATTGGATTGAACTAACATAGCTGAACATTCCCTTAGATGGCGCAGTTTCCAAACACACTTTCTGTAGAATCTGCAAGTGGATATTTGGACCTCTCTGAGGATTTCGTTGGAAACGGGATAAAATTCCCAGAACTATACAGAAGCATTCTGAGAAACTTCTTTGTGATGTTTGCATTCAACTCACAGAGTTGAACCTTGCTTTCATAGTTCAGCTTTCAAACACTCTTTTTGTAGAATCTGCAAGTGGATATTTGGACCACTTTGTGGCCTTCCTTCGAAACGGGTATATCTTCACATCAAACCTAGACAGAAGCATTCTCAGAATGTTTCCTGTGATGACTGCATTCAACTCACAGAGGTGAACAATCCTGTTGATGGAGCAGTTTTGAAACTCTCTTTCTTTGGATTCTGCAAGTTGATATGTGGACCTCTGTGAAGATTTCGTTGAAAACTGGTTCATCTTCACAGAAAAACTAAACAGAAAGCATTCTCAGAAACTGCTTTGTGATGTTTGCGTTCCACTTCAGGAACTGAACTTTCCTCTTGACAGAGCAGCTCTGAAACCCTCTTATTCTAGAATCTGCAAGTGGACATTTGGAGGGCTTTGAGGCCTGTGGTGGAAAAGGAAAATCTTCACATAAAAACTAGATGGAAGCATTCTCAGAAAGTACTTTTTGATGATTGCATTCGACTCACAGTGTTGAACATTCCTATAGATAGAGCAGGTTGTAAACAATCTTTTTGTAGAATCTGCGATTGGAGATTTGGACTGCTTTGAGGCCTACTGTAGTAAAGGAAATAACTTCATCTAAAAACCAAACGGAAGCATTCACAGACAATTCTTAGTGATCATTGCATTGAACTAACAGAGCTGAACATTCCTTTAGATGGAGCAGTTTCCAAACACACTTTCTGTAGAATCTGCAAGTGGATATTTGGACTTCTCTGAGGATTTCGTTGGAAACGGGATAAACTTCCCAGAACTACACGGAAGCATTGTGAGAAACTTCTTTGTGATGTTTGCATTCAACTCACAGAGTTGAACCTTGCTTTCATAGTTCAGCTTTCAAACACTCCTTTTGTAGAATCTGCAAGTGGATATTTGGACCACTTTGTGGCCTTCCTTCGAAACGGGTATATCTTCACATCAAACCTAGACAGAAGCATTCTCAGAATGTTTCCTGTGATGACTGCATTCAACTCACAGAGGTGAACAATCCTGCTGATGGAGCAGTTTTGAAACTCTCTTTCTTTGGATTCTGCAAGTGGATATGTGGACCTCTGTGAAGATTTCGTTGGAAACGGGTTCATCTTCACAGAAAAACTAAACAGAAAGCATTCTCAGAAACTGCTTTGTGATGTTTGTGTTCCACTTCAGGAATTGAACTTTCCTCTTGACAGAGCAGCTCTGAAACCCTCTTATTCTAGAATCTGCAAGTGGACATTTGGAGGGCTTTGAGGCCTGTGGTGGAAAACGAAAATCTTCACATAAAAACTAGATGGAGCATTCTCAGAAACTACTTTGTGATGATTGCATTCGACTCACAGAGTTGAACATTCCTATAGATAGAGCAGGTTGTAAACAATCTTTTTGTAAAATCTGCGATTGGAGATTTGGACTGCTTTGAGGCCTACTGTAGTAAAGGAAATAACTTCATCTAAAAACCAAACGGAAGCATTCACAGACAATTCTTAGTGATCATTGCATTGAACTAACAGAGCTGAACATTCCTTTAGATGGCGCAGTTTCCAAACACACTTTCTGTAGAATCTGCAAGTGGATATTTGGACCTCTCTGAGGATTTCGTTGGAAACGGGATAAAATTCCCAGAACTACACGGAAGCATTGTGAGAAACTTCTTTGTGATGTTTGCATTCAACTCACAGAGTTGAACGTTGCTTTCATAGTTCAGCTTTCAAACACTCTTTTTGTAGAATCTGCAAGTGGATATTTGGACCACTTTGTGGCCTTCCTTCGAAACGGGTATATCTTCACATCAAACCTAGACAGAAGCATTCTCAGAATGTTTCCTGTGATGACTGCATTCAACTCACAGAGGTGAACAATCCTGCTGATGGAGCAGTTTTGAAACTCTCTTTCTTTGGATTCTGCAAGTGGATATGTGGACCTCTGTGAAGATTTCGTTGGAAACGGGTTCATCTTCACAGAAAAACTAAACAGGAGCATTCTCAGAAACTGCTTTGTGATGTTTGTGTTCCACTTAAAGAATTGAACTTTCCTCTTGACAGAGCAGCTCTGAAACCCTCTTTTTCTAGAATCTGCAAGTTGACATTTGGAGGGCTTTGAGGCCTGTGGTGGAAAAGGAAAATCTTCACATAAAAACTTTATGGAAGCATTCTCAGAAACTACTTTGTGATGATTGCATTCGACTCACAGAGTTGAACATTCCTATTGATAGAGCAGGTTGTAAACAATCTTTTTGTAGAATCTGCGATTAGAGATTTGGACTGCTTTGAGGCCTACTGTAGTAAAGGAAATAACTTCATCTAAAAACCAAACGGAAGCATTCACAGACAATTCTTAGTGATCATTGCATTGAACTAACAGAGCTGAACATTCCTTTAGATGGCGCAGTTTCCAAACAAACTTTATGTAGAATCTGCAAGTGGATATTTGGACTTCTCTGAGGATTTCGTTGGAAACGGGATAAACTTCCCAGAACTACACGGAAGCATTCTGAGAAACTTCTTTGTGATGTTTGCATTCAACTCACAGAGTTGAACCTTGCTTTCATAGTTCAGCTTTCAAACACTCTTTTTGTAGAATCTGCAAGTGGATATTTGGACCACTTTGTGGCCTTCCTTCGAAACGGGTATATCTTCACATCAAACCTAGACAGAAGCATTCTCAGAATGTTTCCTGTGATGACTGCATTCAACTCACAGAGGTGAACAATCCTGTTGATGGAGCCGTTTTGAAACTCCCTTTCTTTTGATTCTGCAAGTGGATATGTGGAACACTGTGAAGATTTCGTTGGAAACGGGTTCATCTTCACAGAAAAATTAACAGGAGCATTCTCAGAAACTGCTTTGTGATGTTTGTGTTCCTCTTCAAGAATTGAACTTTCCTCTTGACAGAGCAGCTCTGAAACCCTCTTTTTCTAGAATCTGCAAGTGGACATTTGGAGGGCTTTGAGGCCTGTGGTGGAAAAGGAAAATCTTCACATAAAAACTAGATGGAAGCATTCTCAGAAACTACTTTGTGATGATTGCATTCGACTCACAGAGTTGAACATTCCTATAGATAGAGCAGGTTGTAAACAATCTTTTTGTAGAATCTGCGATTGGAGATTTGGACTGCTTTGAGGCCTACTGTAGAAAAGGAAATAACTTCATCTAAAAACCAAACGGAAGCATTCACAGACAATACTTAGTGATCATTGGATTGAACAAACAGAGCTGAACATTCCTTTAGATAGAGCAGTTTACAAACACACTTTCTGTAGAATCTGCAAGTGGATATTTGGACTTCTCTGAGGATTTCGTTGGAAACGGGATAAACTTCCCAGAACTACACGGAAGCATTCTGAGAAACTTCTTTGTGATGTTTGCATTCAACTCACAGAGTTGAAACTTGCTTTCATAGTTCAGCTTTCAAACACTCTTTTTGTAGAATCTGCAAGTGGATATTTGGACCACTTTGTGGCCTTCCTTCGAAACGGGTATATCTTCACATCAAACCTAGACAGAAGCATTCTCAGAATGTTTCCTATGATGACTGCATTCAACTCACAGAGGTGAACAATCCTGCTGATGGAGCAGTTTTGAAACTCTCTTTCTTTGGATTCTGCAAGTGGATATCTGGACCTCTGTGAAGATTTCGTTGGAAACGTGTTAATCTTCACAGAAAAACTAAACAGAAGCATTCTCAGAAACTGCTTTGTGATGTTTGTGTTCCACTTCAGGAATTGAACTTTCCTCTTGACAGAGCAGCTCTGAAACCCTCTTTTTCCAGAATCTGCAAGTGGACATTTGGAGGGCTTTGAGGCCTGTGGTGGAAAAGGAAAATCTTCACATAAAAACTAGATGGAAGCATTCTCAGAAACTACTTTGTGATGATTGCATTCGACTCACAGAGTTGAACATTCCTATAGATAGAGCAGGTTGTAAACAATCTTTTTGTAGAATCTGCGATTGGAGATTTGGACTGCTTTGAGGCCTACTGTAGTAAAGGAAATAACTTCATCTAAAAACCAAACGGAAGCATTCACAGACAATTCTTAGTGATCATTGGATTGAACTAACAGAGCTGAACATTCCTTTAGATGGAGCAGTTTCCAAACACACTTTCTGTAGAATCCGCAAGTGGATATTTGGACCTCTCTGAGGATTTCGTTGGAAACGGGATAAAATTCCCAGAACTACACGGAAGCATTCTGAGAAACTTCTTTGTGATGTTTGCATTCAACTCACAGAGTTGAACCTTGCTTTCATAGTTCAGCTTTCAAACACTCTTTTTGTAGAATCTGCAAGTGGATATTTGGACCACTTTGTGGCCTTCCTTCGAAACGGGTATATCTTCACATCAAACTTAGACAGAAGCATTCTCAGAATGTTTCATGTGATGACTGCATTCAACTCACAGAGGTGAACAATCCTGTTGATGGAGCAGTTTTGAATCTCTCTTTCTTTGGATTCTGCAAGTGGATATGTGGACCTCTGTGAAGATTTCGTTGGAAAAGGGTTCATCTTCACAGAAAAACTAAACAGAAGCATTCTCAGAAACTGCTTTGTGATGTTTGTGTTCCACTTCAAGAATTGAACTTTCCTCTTGACAGAGCAGCTCTGAAACCCTCTTTTTCTAGAGTCTGCAAGTGGACATTTGGAGGGATTTGAGGCCTGTGGTGGAAAAGGAAAATCTTCACATAAAAATTAGATGGAAGCATTCTCAGAAACTACTTTGTGATGATTGCATTCGACTCACAGAGTTGAACATTCCTATAGATAGAGCAGGTTGTAAACAATCTTTTTGTAGAATCTGCGATTGGAGATTTGGACTGCTTTGAGGCCTACTGTAGTAAAGGAAATAACTTCATCTAAAAACCAAACGGAAGCATTCACAGACAATTCTTAGTGATCATTGGATTGAGCTAACAGAGCTGAACATTCCTTTAGATGGAGCAGTTTCCAAACACACTTTCTGCAGAATCTGCAAGTGGATATTTGGACTTCTCTGAGGATTTCGTTGGAAACGGGATAAACTTCCCAGAACTACACGGAAGCATTGTGAGAAACTTCTTTGTGATGTTTGCATTCAACTCACAGAGTTGAACCTTGCTTTCATAGTTCAGCTTTCAAACACTCTTTTTGTAGAATCTGCAAGTGGATATTTGGACCACTTTGTGGCCTTCCTTCGAAACGGGTATATCTTCACATCAAACCTAGACAGAAGCATTCTCAGAATGTTTCCTGTGATGACTGCATTCAACTCACAGAGGTGAACAATCCTGTTGATGGAGCACTTTTGAAACTCTCTTTCTTTGGATTCTGCCAGTGGATATGTGGACCTCTGTGAAGATTTCGTTGGAAACGGGTTCATCTTCACAGAAAAACTAAACAGAAGCATTCTCAGAAACTGCTTTGTGATGTTTGTGTTCCACTTCAAGAATTGAACTTTCCTCTTGACAGAGCAGCTCTGAAACCCTCTTTTTCTAGAATCTGCAAGTATACATTTGGATGGCTTTGAGGCCTGTGGTGGAAAAGGAAACTCTTCACATAAAAACTAGATGGAAGCATTCTCAGAAAGTACTTTGTGATGATTGCATTCGACCCACAGAGTTGAACATTCCTATAGATAGAGCAGGTTGTAAACAATCTTTTTGTAGAATCTGCGATTGGAGATTTGGACTGCTTTGAGGCCTACTGTAGTAGAGGAAAGAATTTCATCTAAAAATCAAACGGAAGCCTTCACAGATAATTCTTAGTGATATTGGATTGAACTAAGAGAGCTGAACATTCCTTTAGATGGAGCAGTTTCCAAACACACTTTCTGTAGAATCTGCAAGTGGATATTTGGACTTCTCTGAGGATTTCGTTGGAAACGGGATAAACTTCCCAGAACTACACGGAAGCATTCTGAGAAACTTCTTTGTGATGTTTGCATTCAACTCACAGAGTTGAACCTTGCTTTCATAGTTCAGCTTTCAAACACTCTTTTTGTAGAATCTGCAAGTGGATATTTGGACCACTTTGTGGCCTTCCTTCGAAACGGGTATATCTTCACATCAAACCTAGACAGAAGCATTCTCAGAATGTTTCCTGTGATGACTGCATTCAACTCACAGAGGTGAACAATCCTGCTGATGGAGCAGTTTTGAAACTCTCTTTCTTTGGATTCTGCAAGTGGATATGTGGACCTCTGTGAAGATTTCGTTGGAAACGGGTTCATCTTCACAGAAAAACTAAACAGAAGCATTCTCAGAAACTGCTTTGTGATGTTTGTGTTCCACTTCAGGAATTGAACTTTCCTCTTGACAGAGCAGCTCTGAAACCCTCTTTTTCTAGAATCTGCAAGTGGTCATTTGGAGGGCTTTGAGGCCTGTGGTGGAAAAGGAAAATCTTCACATAAAAACTAGATGGAAGCATTCTCAGAAACTACTTTGTGATGATTGCATTCGACTCACAGAGTTGAACATTCCTATAGATAGAGCAGGTTGTAAACAATCTTTTTGTAGAATCTGCGATTGGAGATTTGGACTGCTTTGAGGCCTACTGTAGTAAAGGAAATAACTTCATCTGAAAACCAAACGGAAGCATTCACAGACAATACTTAGTGATCATTGGATTGAACTAACAGAGCTGAACATTCCTTTAGATGGCGCAGTTTCCAAACACACTTTCTGTAGAATCTGCAAGTGGATATTTGGACTTCTCTGAGGATTTCGTTGGAAACGGGATAAACTTCCCAGAACTACACGGAAGCATTGTGAGAAACTTCTTTGTGATGTTTGCATTCAACTCACAGAGTTGAACCTTGCTTTCATAGTTCAGCTTTCAAACATTCTTTTTGTAGAATCTGCAAGTGGATATTTGGACCACTTTGTGGCCTTCCTTCGAAACGGGTATATCTTCACATCAAACCTAGACAGAAGCATTCTCAGAATGTTTCCTGTGATGACTGCATTCAACTCACAGAGGTGAACAATCCTGTTGATGGAGCACTTTTGAAACTCTCTTTCTTTGGATTCTGCAAGTTGATATGTGGACCTCTGTGAAGATTTCGTTGGAAACGGGTTCATCTTCACAGAAAAACTAAACAGAAGCATTCTCAGAAACTGCTTTGTGATGTTTGTGTTCCACTTCAAGAATTGAACTTTCCTCTTGACAGAGCAGCTCTGAAACCCTCTTTTTCTAGAATCTGCAAGTGGACATTTGGAGGGCTTTGAGGCCTGTGGTGGAAAAGGAAAATCTTCACATAAAAACTAGATGGAAGCATTCTCAGAAACTACTTTGTGATGATTGCATTCGACTCACAGAGTTGAACATTCCTATAGATAGAGCAGGTTGTAAACAATCTTTTTGTAGAATCTGCGATTGGAGATTTGGACTGCTTTGAGGCCTACTGTAGTAAAGTAAATAACTTCATCTAAAAACCAAACGGAAGCATTCACAGACAATTCTTAGTGATCATTGGATTGAGCTAACAGAGCTGAACATTCCTTTAGATGGAGCAGTTTCCAAACACACTTTCTGCAGAATCTGCAAGTGGATATTTGGACTTCTCTGAGGATTTCGTTGGAAACGGGATAAACTTCCCAGAACTACACGGAAAGCATGCTGAGAAACTTCTTTGTGATGTTTGCATTCAACTCACAGAGTTGAACCTTGCTTTCTTAGTTCAGCTTTCAAACACTCTTTTTGTAGAATCTGCAAGTGGATATTTGGACCACTTTGTGGCCTTCCTTCGAAACGGGTATATCTTCACATCAAACCTAGACAGAAGCATTCTCAGAATGTTTCCTGTGATGACTGCATTCAACTCACACAGGTGAACAATGCTGCTGATGGAGCAGTTTTGAAACTCTCTTTCTTTGGATTCTGCAAGTGGATATGTGGATCTCTGTGAAGATTTCGTTGGAAACGGGTTCATCTTCACAGAAAAACTACACAGAAGCATTCTCAGAAACTGCTTTGTGATGTTTGTGTTCCACTTCAGGAATTGAACTTTCCTCTTGACAGAGCAGCTCTGAAACCCTCTTTTTCTAGAATCTGCAAGTGGACATTTGGAGGGCTTTGAGGCCTGTGGTGGAAAAGGAAAATCTTCACATAAAAATTAGATGGAAGCATTCTCAGAAACTACTTTGTGATGATTGCATTCGACTCACAGAGTTGAACATTCCTATACATAGAGCAGGTTGTAAACAATCTTTTTGTAGAATCTGCGATTGGAGATTTGGACTGCTTTGAGGCCTACTGTAGTAAAGGAAATAACTTCATCTAAAAACCAAACGGAAGCATTCACAGACAATTCTTAGTGATCATTGGATTGAACTAACAGAGCTGAACATTCCTTTAGATGGAGCAGTTTCCAAACACACTTTCTGTAGAATCTGCAAGTGGATATTTGGACCTCTCTGAGGATTTCGTTGGAAACGGGATAAACTTCCCAGAACTACACGGAAGCATTGTGAGAAACTTCTTTGTGATGTTTGCATTCAACTCACAGAGTTGAACCTTGCTTTCATAGTTCAGCTTTCAAACACTCTTTTTGTAGAATCTGCAAGTGGATATTTGGACCACTTTGTGGCCTTCCTTTGAAAAGGGTATATCTTCACATCAAACCTAGACAGAAGCATTCTCAGAATGTTTCCTGTGATGACTGCATTCAACTCACAGAGGTGAACAATCCTGTTGATGGAGCAGTTTTGAAACTCTCTTTCTTCGGATTCTACAAGTGGATATGTGGACCTCTGTGAAGATTTCGTTGGAAACGGGTTCATCTTCACAGAAAAACTAAACAGAAGCATTCTCAGAAACTGCTTTGTGATGTTTGTGTTCCACTTCAAGAATTGAACTTTCCTCTTGACAGAGCAGCTCTGAAACCCTCTTTTTCTAGAAACTGCAAGTGGACATTTGGAGGGATTTGAGGCCTGTGGTGGAAAAGGAAAATCTTCACATAAAAACTAGATGGAAGCATTCTCAGAAACTACTTTGTGATGATTGCATTCGACTCACAGAGTTGAACATTCCTATAGATAGAGCAGGTTGTAAACAATCTTTTTGTAGAATCTGCGATTGGAGATTTGGACTGCTTTGAGGCCTACTGTAGTAAAGGAAATAACTCCATCTAAAAACCAAACGGAAGCATTCACAGACAATTCTTAGTGATCATTGCATTGAACTAACAGAGCTGAACATTCCTGTAGATGGAGCATTTTCCAAACACACTTTCTGTAGAATCTGCAAGTGGATATTTGGACTTCTCTGAGGATTTCTTTGGAAACGGGATAAACTTCCCAGAACTACACGGAAGCATTCTGAGAAACTTCTTTGTGATGTTTGCATTCAACTCACAGAGTTGAACCTTGCTTTCATAGTTCAGCTTTCAAACACTCTTTTTGTAGAATCTGCAAGTGGATATTTGGACCACTTTCTGGCCTTCCTTCGAAACGGGTATATCTTCACATCAAACCTAGACAGAAGCATTTTCAGAATGTTTCCTGTGATGACTGCATTCAACTCACAGAGGTGAACAATCCTGCTGATGGAGCAGTTTTGAAACTCTCTTTCTTTGGATTCTGCAAGTGGATATGTGGACCTCTGTGAAGATTTCGTTGGAAACGGGTTCATCTTCACAGAAAAACTAAACAGGAGCATTCTCAGAAACTGCTTTGTGATGTTTGTGTTCCACTTCAAGAATTGAATTTTCCTCTTGACAGAGCAGCTCTGAAACCCTCTTTTTCTAGAATCTGCAAGTGGACATTTGTAGGGCTTTGAGGCCTGTGGTGGAAAAGGAAAATCTTCACATAAAAACTAGATGGAAGCATTCTCAGAAACTACTTTGTGATGATTGCATTCGACTCACAGAGTTGAACATTCCTATAGATAGAGCAGGTTGTAAACAATCTTTTTGTAGAATCTGCGATTGGAGATTTCGACTGCTTTGAGGCCTACTGTAGTAAAGGAAATAACTTCATCTAAAAACCAAACGGAAGCATTCACAGACAATTCTTAGTGATCATTGGATTGAACTAACAGAGCTGAACATTCCTTTAGATGGAGCAGTTTCCACACACACTTTCTGTAGAATCTGCAAGTGGATATTTGGACCTCTCTGAGGATTTCGTTGGAAACGGGATAAACTTCCCAGAACTACACAGAAGCATTCTGAGAAACTTCTTTGTGATGTTTGCATTCAACTCACAGAGTTGAACCTTGCTTTCATAGTTCAGCTTTCAAACACTCTTTTTGTAGAATCTGCAAGTGGATATTTGGACCACTTTCTGGCCTTCCTTCGAAACGGGTATATCTTCACATCAAACCTAGACAGAAGCATTCTCGGAATTTTTCCTGTGATGACTGCATTCAACTCACAGAGGTGAACAATCCTGCTGATGGAGCAGTTTTGAAACTCTCTTTCTTTGGATTCTGTAGGTGGATATGTGGACCTCTGTGAAGATTTCGTTGGAAACGGGTTCATCTTCACAGAAAAACTAAACAGGGAGCATTCTCAGAAACTGCTTTGTGATGTTTGTGTTCCACTTCAAGAATTGAACTTTCCTCTTGACAGAGCAGCTCTGAAACCCTCTTTTTCTAGAATCTGCAAGTGGACATTTGGAGGGCTTTGAGGCCTGTGGTGGAAAAGGAAAATCTTCACATAAAAACTAGATGGAGCATTCTCAGAAACTACTTTGTGATGATTGCATTCGACTCACAGAGTTGAACATTCCTATAGATAGAGCAGGTTGTAAACAATCTTTTTGTAGAATCTGCGATTGGAGATTTGGACTGCTTTGAGGCCTACTGTAGTAAAGGAAATAACTTCATCTAAAAACCAAACGGAAGCATTCACAGACAATTCTTAGTGATCATTGGATTGAACTAACAGAGCTGAACATTCCTTTAGATGGAGCAGTTTCCAAACCCACTTTCTGTAGAATCTGCAAGTGGATATTTGGACTTCTCTTAGGATTTCGTTGGAAACGGGATAAAATTCCCAGAACTACACGGAAGCATTGTGAGAAACTTCTTTGTGATGTTTGCATTCAACTCACAGAGTTCAACCTTGCTTTCATAGTTCAGCTTTCAAACACTCTTTTTGTAGAATCTGCAAGTGGATATTTGGACCACTTTGTGGCCTTCCTTCGAAACGGGTATATCTTCACATCAAACCTAGACAGAAGCATTCTCAGAATGTTTCCTGTGATGACTGCATTCAACTCACAGAGGTGAACAATCCTGCTGATGGAGCAGTTTTGAAACTCTCTTTCTTTGGATTCTGCAAGTGGATATGTGGACCTCTGTGAAGATTTCGTTGGAAACGGGTTCATCTTCACAGAAAAACTAAACAGAAGCATTCTCAGAAACTGCTTTGTGATGTTTGTGTTCCACTTCAAGAATTGAACTTTCCTCTTGACAGAGCAGCTCTGAAACCCTCTTTTTCTAGAATCTGCAAGTGGACATTTGGAGGGCTTTGAGGCCTGTGGTGGAAAAGGAAAATCTTCACATAAAAACTAGATGGAAGCATTCTCAGAAACTACTTTGTGATGATTGCATTCGACTCACAGAGTTGAACATTCCTATAGATAGAGCAGGTTGTAAACAATCTTTTTGTAGAATCTGCGATTCGAGATTTGGAATGCTTTGAGGCCTACTGCAGTAAAGGAAATAACTTCATCTAAAAACCAAACGGAAGCATTCACAGACAATTCTTAGTGATCATTGGATTGAACTAACAGAGCTGAACATTCCTTTAGATGGAGCAGTTGCCAAACCCACTTTCTGTAGAATCTGCAAGTGGATATTTGGACTTCTCTGAGGATTTCGTTGGAAACGGGATAAACTTCCCAGAACTACACGGAAGCATTGTGAGAAACTTCTTTGTGATGTTTGCATTCAACTCACAGAGTTGAACCTTGCTTTCATAGTTCAGCTTTCAAACACTCTTTTTGTGGAATCTGCAAGTGGATATTTGGACCACTTTGTGGCCTTCCTTCGAAACGGGTATATCTTCACATGAAACCTAGACAGAAGCATTGTCAGAATGTTTCCTGTGATGACTGCATTCAACTCACAGAGGTGAACAATCCTGCTGATGGAGCAGTTTTGAAACTCTCTTTCTTTGGATTCTGCAAGTGGATATGTGGACCTCTGTGAAGATTTCGTTGGAAACGGGTTCATCTTCACAGAAAAACTAAACAGAAGCATTCTCAGAAACTGCTTTGTGATGTTTGTGTTCCACTTCAAGAATTGAACTTTCCTCTTGACAGAGCAGCTCTGAAACCCTCTTTTTCTAGAGTCTGCAAGTGGTCATTTGGAGGGCTTTGAGGCCTGTGGTGGAAAAGGAAAATCTTCACATAAAAACTAGATGGAAGCATTCTCAGAAACTACTTTGTGATGATTGCATTCGACTCACAGAGTTGAACATTCCTATAGATAGAGCAGGTTGTAAACAATCTTTTTGTAGAATCTGCGACTGGAGATTTGGACTGCTTTGAGGCCTACTGTAGTAAAGGAAATAACTTCATCTAAAAACCAAACGGAAGCATTCACAGACAATTCTTAGTGATCATTGCATTGAACTAACAGAGCTGAACATTCCTTTAGATGGCGCAGTTTCCAAACACACTTTCTGTAGAATCTGCAAGTGGATATTTGGACCTCTCTGAGGATTTCGTTGGAAACGGGATAAACTTCCCAGAACTACACGGAAGCATTCTGAGAAACTTCTTTGTGATGTTTGCATTCAACTCACAGAGTTGAACCTTGCTTTCATAGTTCAGCTTTCAAACACTCTTTTTGTAGAATCTGCAAGTGGATATTTGGACCACTTTGTGGCCTTCCTTCGAAACGGGTATATCTTCACATCAAACCTAGACAGAAGCATTCTCAGAATGTTTCCTGTGATGACTGCATTCAACTCACAGAGGTGAACAATCCTGCTGATGGAGCAGTTTTGAAACTCTCTTTGTTTGGATTCTACAAGTGGATATGTGGACCTCTGTGAAGATTTCGTTGGAAACGGGTTCATCTTCACAGAAAAACTAAACAGAAGCATTCTCAGAAACTGCTTTGTGATGTTTGTGTTCCACTTCAGGAATTGAACTTTCCTCTTGACAGAGCAGCTCTGAAACCCTCTTTTTCTAGAATCTGCAAGTGGACATTTGGAGGGCTTTGAGGCCTGTGGTGGAAAAGGAAAATCTTCACATAAAAACTAGATGGAAGCATTCTCAGAAACTACTTTGTGATGATTGTATTCGACTCACAGAGTTGAACATTCCTATAGATAGAGCAGGTTGTAAACAATCTTTTTGTAGAATCTGCGATTGGAGATTTGGACTGCTTTGAGGCCTACTGTAGTAAAGGAAATAACTTCATCTAAAAACCAAACGGAAGCATTCACAGACAATTCTTAGTGATCATTGGATTGAACTAACAGAGCTGAACATTCCTTTAGATGGAGCAGTTTCCAAACACACTTTCTGTAGAATCTGCAAGTGGATATTTGGACTTCTCTAAGGATTTCGTTGGAAACGGGATAAACTTCCCAGAACTACACGGAAGCATTGTGAGAAACTTCTTTGTGATGTTTGCATTCAACTCACAGAGTTGAACCTTGCTTTCATAGTTCAGCTTTCAAACACTCTTTTTGTGGAATCTGCAAGTGGATATTTGGACCACTTTGTGGCCTTCCTTCGAAACGGGTATATCTTCACATCAAACCTAGACAGAAGCATTCTCAGAATGTTTCCTGTGATGACTGCATTCAACTCACAGAGGTGAACAATCCTGCTGATGGAGCAGTTTTGAAACTCTCTTTCTTTGGATTCTGCAAGTGGATATGTGGACCTCTGTGAAGATTTCGTTGGAAACGGGTTCATCTTCACAGAAAAACTAAACAGAAGCATTCTCAGAAACTGCTTTGTGATGTTTGTGTTCCACTTCAGGAATTGAACTTTCCTCTTGAAAGAGCAGCTCTGAAACCCTCTTATTCTAGAATCTGCAAGTGGACATTTGGAGGGCTTTGAGGCCTGTGGTGGAAAAGGAAAATCTTCACATAAAAACTAGATGGAAGCATTCTCAGAAACTACTTTGTGATGATTGCATTCGACTCACAGAGTTGAACATTCCTATAGATAGAGCAGGTTGTAAACAACCTTTTGGTAGAATCTGCGATTGGAGATTTGGACTGCTTTGAGGCCTACTGTAGTAAAGGAAATAACTTCATCTAAAAACCAAACGGAAGCATTCACAGACAATTCTTAGTGATCATTGCATTGAACTAACAGAGCTGAACATTCCTTTAGATGGAGCAGTTTCCAAACACACTTTCTGTAGAATGTGCAAGTGGATATTTGGACTTCTCTGAGGATTTCGTTGGAAACGGGATAAACTTCCCAGAACTACACGGAAGCATTCTGAGAAACTTCTTTGTGATGTTTGCATTCAACTCACAGAGTTGAACCTTGCTTTCATAGTTCAGCTTTCAAACACTCTTTTTGTAGAATCTGCAAGTGGATATTTGGACCACTTTGTGGCCTTCCTTCGAAACGGGTATATCTTCACATCAAACCTAGACAGAAGCATTCTCAGAATGTTTCCTGTGATGACTGCATTCAACTCACAGATGTGAACAATCCTGTTGATGGAGCAGTTTTGAAACTCTCTTTCTTTGGATTCTGCAAGTGGATATGTGGACCTCTGTGAAGATTTCGTTGGAAACGGGTTCATCTTCACAGAAAAACTAAACAGGAGCATTCTCAGAAACTGCTTTGTGATGTTTGTGTTCCACTTCAGGAACTGAACTTTCCTCTTGATAGAGCAGCTCTGAAACCCTCTTTTTCTAGAATCTGCAAGTGGACATTTGGAGGGCTTTGAGGTCTGTGGTGGAAAAGGAAAATCTTCACATAAAAACTAGATGGAAGCATTCTCAGAAACTACTATGTGATGATTGCATTCGACTCACAGAGTTGAACATTCCTATAGATAGAGCAGGTTGTAAACAATCTTTTTGTAGAATCTGCGATTGGAGATTTGGACTGCTTTGAGGCCTACTGTAGTAAAGGAAATAACTTCATCTAAAAACCAAACGGAAGCATTCACAGACAATTCTTAGTGATCATTGGATTGAACAAACAGAGCTGAACATTCCCTTAGATGGCGCAGTTTCCAAACACACTTTCTGTAGAATCTGCAAGTGGATATTTGGACCTCTCTGAGGATTTCGTTGGTAACGGGATAAACTTCCCAGAACTACACGGAAGCATTGTGAGAAACTTCTTTGTGATGTTTGCATTCAACTCACAGAGTTGAACCTTGCTTTCATAGTTCAGCTTTCAAACACTCTTTTTGTAGAATCTGCAAGTGGATATTTGGACCACTTAGTGGCCTTCCTTCGAAACGGGTATATCTTCACATCAAACCTAGACAGAAGCATTCTCAGAATGTTTCCTGTGATGACTGCGTTCAACTCACAGAGGTGAACAATCCTGCTGATGGAGCAGTTTTGAAACTCTCTTTCTTTGGATTCTGCAAGTGGATATGTGGACCTCTGTGAAGATTTCGTTGGAAACGGGTTCATCTTCACAGAAAAACTAAACAGAAGCATTCTCAGAAACTGCTTTGTGATGTTTGTGTTCCACTTCAAGAATTGAACTTTCCTCTTGACAGAGCAGCTCTGAAACCCTCTTTTTCTAGAATCTGCAAGTGGACATTTGGAGGGCTTTGAGGCCTGTGGTGGAAAAGGAAAATCTTCACATAAAAACTAGATGGAAGCATTCTCAGAAACTACTTTGTGATGACTGCATTCGACTCACAGAGTTGAACATTCCTATAGATAGAGCAGGTTGTAAACAATCTTTTTGTAGAATCTGCGATTGGAGATTTGGACTGCTTTGAGGCCTACTGTAGTAAAGGAAATAACTTCATCTAAAAACCAAACGGAAGCATTCACAGACAATTCTTAGTGATCATTGCATTGAACTAACAGAGCTGAACATTGCTTTAGATGGCGCAGTTTCCAAACACACTTTCTGTAGAATCTGCAAGTGGATATTTGGACCTCTCTGAGGATTTCGTTGGAAACGGGATAAACTTCCCAGAACTACACGGAAGCATGCTGAGAAACTTCTTTGTGATGTTTGCATTCAACTCACAGAGTTGAACCTTGCTTTCATAGTTCAGCTTTCAAACACTCTTTTTGTAGAATCTGCAAGTGGATATTTGGACCACTTTGTGGCCTTCCTTCGAAACGGGTATATCTTCACATCAAACCTAGACAGAAGCATTCTCGGAATGTTTCCTGTGATGACTGCATTCAACTCACAGAGGTGAACAATCCTGCTGATGGAGCAGTTTTGAAACTCCCTTTCTTTGGATTCTGCAAGTGGATATGTGGACCTCTGTGAAGATTTCGTTGGAAACGAGTTCATCTTCACAGAAAAACTAAACAGAAGCATTCTCAGAAACTGCTTTGTGATGTTTGTGTTCCACTTCAGGAATTGAACTTTCCTCTTGACAGAGCAGCTCTGAAACCCTCTTTTTCTAGAATCTGCAAGTGGACATTTGGAGGGCTTTGAGGCCTGTGGTGGAAAAGGAAAATCTTCACATAAAAACTAGATGGAAGCATTCTCAGAAACTACTTTGTGATGATTGCATTCGACTCACAGAGTTGAACACTCCTATAGATAGAGCAGGTTGTAAACAATCTTTTTGTAGAATCTGCGATTGGAGATTTGGACTGCTTTGAGGCCTACTGTAGTAAAGGAAATAACTTCATCTACAAACCAAACGGAAGCATTCACAGACAATTCTTAGTGATCATTGGATTGAACTAACAGAGCTGAACATTCCTTTAGATGGAGCATTTTCCAAACACACTTTCTGTAGAATCTGCAAGTGGATATTTGGACTTCTCTGAGGATTTCGTTGGAAACGGGATAAACTTCCCAGAACTACACGGAAGTATTCTGAGAAACTTCTTTGTGATGTTTGCATTCAACTCACAGAGTTGAACCTTGCTTTCATAGTTCAGCTTTCAAACACTCTTTTTGTAGGATCTGCAAGTGGATATTTGGACCACTTTGTGTCCTTCCTTCGAAACGGGTATATCTAAACATCAAACCTAGACAGAAGCATTCTCAGAATGTTTCCTGTGATGACTGCATTCAACTCACAGAGGTGAACAATCCTGCTGATGGAGCAGTTTTGAAACTCTCTTTCTTTGGATTCTGCAAGTGGATATGTGGACCTCTGTGAAGATTTCGTTGGAAACGGGTTCATCTTCACAGAAAAACTAAACAGGAGCATTCTCAGAAACTGCTTTGTGATGTTTGTGTTCCACTTCAGGAATTGAACTTTCCTCTTGACAGAGCAGCTCTGAAACCCTCTTATTCTAGAATCTGCAAGTGGACATTTGGAGGGCTTTGAGGCCTGTGGTGGAAAAGGAAAATCTTCACATAAAAACTAGATGGAAGCATTCTCAGAAACTACTTTGTGATGATTGCATTCGACTCACAGAGTTGAACATTCCTAAAGATAGAGCAGGTTGTAAACAATCTTTTTGTAGAATCTGCGATTGGAGATTTGGACTGCTTTGAGGCCTACTGTAGTAAAGGAAATAACTTCATCTAAAAACCAAACGGAAGCATTCACAGACAATTCTTAGTGATCATTGGATTGAACTAACAGAGCTGAACATTCCTGTAGATGGAACAGTTTCCAAACACACTTTCTGTAGAATCTGCAAGTGGATATTTGGACTTCTCTGAGGATTTCGTTGGAAACGGGATAAACTTCCCAGAACTACACGGAAGCATTCTGAGAAACTTCTTTGGATGTTTACATTCAACTCACAGAGTTGAACCTTGCTTTCATAGTTCAGCTTTCAAACACTCTTTTTGTAGAATCTGCAAGTGGATATTTGGACCACTTTGTGGCCTTCCTTCGAAACGGGTATATCTTCACATCAAACCTAGACAGAAGCATTCTCAGAATGTTTCCTGTGATGACTGCATTCAACTCACAGAGGTGAACAATCCTGCTGATGGAGCAGTTTTGAAACTCTCTTTCTTTGGATTCTGCAATTGGATATGTGGACCTCTGTGAAGATTTCGTTGGAAACGGGTTCATCTTCACAGAAAAACTAAACAGGAGCATTCTCAGAAACTGCTTTGTGATGTTTGTGTTCCACTTCAAGAATTGAACTTTCCTCTTGACAGAGCAGCTCTGAAACCCTCTTTTTCTAGAATCTGCAAGTGGACATTTGGAGGGCTTTGAGGCCTGTGGTGGAAAAGGAAAATCTTCCCATAAAAACTAGATGGAAGCATTCTCAGAAACTACTTTGTGATGATTGCATTCGACTCACAGAGTTGAACATTACTATAGATAGAGCAGGTTGTAAACAATGTTTTTGTACAATCTGCGATTGGAGATTTGGACTGCTTTGAGGCCTACTGTAGTAAAGGAAATAACTTCATCTAAAAACCAAACGGAAGCATTCACAGACAATTCTTAGTGATCATTGGATTGGGCTAACAGAGCTGAACATTCCTTTAGATGGAGCAGTTTCCAAACACACTTTCTGCAGAATCTGCAAGTGGATATTTGGACTTCTCTGAGGATTTCGTTGGAAACGGGATAAACTTCCCAGAACTACACGGAAGCATTCTGAGAAACTTCTTTGTGATGTTTGCATTCAACTCACAGAGTTGAACCTTGCTTTCATAGTTCAGCTTTCAAACACTCTTTTTGTAGAATCTGCAAGTGGATATTTTGACCACTTTGTGGCCTTCCTTCGAAACGGGTATATCTTCACATCAAACTTAGACAGAAGCATTCTCAGAATGTTTCCTGTGATGACTGCATTCAACTCACAGAGGTGAACAATCCTGTTGATGGAGCCGTTTTGAAACTCCCTTTCTTTTGATTCTGCAAGTGGATATGTGGACCTCTGTGAAGATTTCGTTGGAAACGGGTTCATCTTCACAGAAAAATTAACAGGAGCATTCTCAGAAACTGCTTTGTGATGTTTGTGTTCCACTTGAAGAATTGAACTTTCCTTTTGACAGAGCAGCTCTGAAACCCTCTTTTTCTAGAATCTGCAAGTGGACATTTGGAGGGCTTTGAGGCCTGTGCTGGAAAAGGAAAATCTTCCCATAAAAACTAGATGGAAGCATTCTCAGAAACTACTTTGTGATGATTGCATTCGACTCACAGAGTTGAACATTCCTATAGATAGAGCAGGTTGTAAACAATCTTTTTGTAGAATCTGCGATTGGAGATTTGGACTGCTTTGAGGCCTACTGTAGTAAAGGAAATAACTTCATCTAAAAACCAAACGGAAAGCATTCACAGACAATTCTTAGTGATCATTGCATTGAACTAACAGAGCTGAACATTCCTTTAGATTGAGCAGTTTCCAAACACACTTTCTGTAGAATCTGCAAGTGGATATTTGGACTTCTCTGAGGATTTCGTTGGAAACGGGATAAACTTCCCAGAACTACACGGAAGCATTCTGAGAAACTTCTTTGTGATGTTTGCATTCAACTCACAGAGTTGAACCTTGCTTTCATAGTTCAGCTTTCAAACACTCTTTTTGTAGAATCTGCAAGTGGATATTTGGACCACTTTGTGGCCTTCCTTCGAAACGGGTATATCTTCACATCAAACCTAGACAGAAGCATTCTCAGAATGTTTCCTGTGATGACTGCATTCAACTCACAGATGTGAACAATCCTGCTCATGGAGCAGTTTTGAAACTCTCTTTCTTTGGCTTCTGCAAGTGGATATGTGGACCTCTGTGTAGATTTCGTTGGAAACGGGTTCATCTTCACAGAAAAACTAAACAGAAGCATTCTCAGAAACTGCTTTGTGATGTTTGTGTTCCACTTCAGGAATTGAACTTTCCTCTTGACAGAGCAGCTCTGAAACCCTCTTTTTCTAGAATCTGCAAGTGCACATTTGGAGGGCTTTGAGGCCTGTGGTGGAAAAGGAAAATCTTCACATAAAAACTAGATGGAAGCATTCTCAGAAACTACTTTGTGATGATTGCATTCGACTCACAGAGTTGAACATTCCTATAGATAGAGCAGGTTGTAAACAATCTTTTTGTAGAATCTGCGATTGGAGATTTGGACTGCTTTGAGGCCTACTGTAGTAAAGGAAATAACTTCATCTAAAAACCAAACGGAAGCATTCACAGACAATTCTTAGTGATCATTGGATTGAACTAACAGAGCTGAACATTCCTTTAGATGGAGCAGTTTCCAAACCCACTTTCTGTAGAATCTGCAAGTGGATATTTGGACTTCTCTGAGGATTTCGTTGGAAACGGGATAAACTTCCCAGAACTACACGGAAGCATGCTGAGAAACTTCTTTGTGATGTTTGCATTCAACTCACAGAGTTGAACCTTGCTTTCATAGTTCAGCTTTCAAACACTCTTTTTGTAGAATCTGCAAGTGGATATTTGGACCACTTTGTGGCCTTCCTTCGAAACGGGTATATCTTCACATCAAACCTAGACAGAAGCATTCTCAGAATGTTTCCTGTGATGACTGCATTCAACTCACAGAGGTGAACAATCCTGCTGATGGAGCAGTTTTGAAACTCTCTTTCTTTGGATTCTGCAAGTGGATATGTGGACCTCTGTGAAGATTTCGTTGGAAACGGGTTCATCTTCGCGGAAAAACTAAACAGGAGCATTCTCAGAAACTGCTTTGTGATGTTTGTGTTCCACTTCAAGAATTGAACTTTCCTCTTGACAGAGCAGCTCTGAAACCCTCTTATTCTAGAATCTGCAAGTGGACATTTGGAGGGCTTTGAGGCCTGTGGTGGAAAAGGAAAATCTTCACATAAAAACGAGATGGAAGCATTCTCAGAAACTACTTTGTGATGATTGCATTCGACTCATAGAGTTGAACATTCCTATAGATAGAGCAGGTTGTAAACAATCTTTTTGTAGAATCTGCGATTGGAGATTTGGACTGCTTTGAGGCCTACTGTAGTAAAGGAAATAACTTCATCTAAAAACCAAACGGAAGCATTCACAGACAATTATTAGTGATCATTGGATTGAACTAACAGAGCTGAACATTCCTTTAGATGGAGCAGTTTCCAAACACACTTTCTGTAGAATCTGCAAGTGGATATTTGGACCTCTCTGAGGATTTCGTTGGAAACGGGATAAACTTCCCAGAACTACACGGAAGCATTCTGAGAAACTTCTTTGTGATGTTTGCATTCAACTCACAGAGTTGAACCTTGCTTTCATAGTTCAGCTTTCAAACACTCTTTTTGTAGAATCTGCAAGTGGATATTTGGACCACTTTGTGTCCTTCCTTCGAAACGGGTATATCTTCACATCAAACCTAGACAGAAGCATTCTCAGAATGTTTCCTGTGATGACTGCATTCAACTCACAGAGGTGAACAATCCTGTTGATGGAGCACTTTTGAAACTCTCTTTCTTTGGATTCTGCAAGTTGATATGTGGACCTCTGTGAAGATTTCGTTGGAAACGGGTTCATCTTCACAGAAAAACTAAACAGAAGCATTCTCAGAAACTGCTTTGTGATGTTTGTGTTCCACTTCAGGAATTGAACTTTCCTCTTGACAGAGCAGCTCTGAAACCCTCTTATTCTAGAATCTGCAAGTGGACATTTGGAGGGCTTTGAGGCCTGTGGTGGAAAAGGAAAATCTTCACATAAAAACTAGATGGAAGCATTCTCAGAAACTACTTTGTGATGATTGCATTCGACTCACAGAGTTGAACATTCCTATAGATAGATCAGGTTGTAAACAATCTTTTTGTAGAATCTGCGATTGGAGATTTGGACTGCTTTGAGGCCTACTGTAGTAAAGGAAATAACTTCATCTAAAAACCAAACGGAAGCATTCACAGACAATTCTTAGTGATCATTGCATTGAACTAACAGAGCTGAACATTCCTTTAGATGGCGCAGTTTCCAAACACACTTTCTGTAGAATCTGCAAGTGGATATTTGGACCTCTCTGAGGATTTCGTTGGAAACGGGATAAACTTCCCAGAACTACACGGAAGCATTGTGAGAAACTTCTTTGTGATGTTTGCATTCAACTCACAGAGTTGAACCTTGCTTTCATAGTTCAGCTTTCAAACACTCTTTTTATAGAATCTGCAAGTGGATATTTGGACCACTTTGTGGCCTTCCTTCGAAACGGGTATATCTTCACATCAAACCTAGACAGAAGCATTCTCAGAATGTTTCCTGTGATGACTGCATTCAACTCACAGAGTTGAACAATCCTGCTGATGGAGCAGTTTTGAAACTCTCTTTGTTTGGATTCTGCAAGTAGACATGTGGACCTCTGTGAAGATTTCGTTGGAAACGGGTTCATCTTCACAGAAAAACTAAACAGAAGCATTCTCAGAAACTGCTTTGTGATGTTTGTGTTCCACTTCAGGAATTGAACTTTCCTCTTGACATAGCAGCTCTGAAACCCTCTTATTCTAGAATCTGCAAGTGGACATTTGGAGGGCTTTGAGGCCTGTGGTGGAAAAGGAAAATCTTCACATAAAAACTAGATGGAAGCATTCTCAGAAACTACTTTGTGATGATTGCATTCGACTCACAGAGTTGAACATTCCTATAGATAGAGCAGGTTGTAAACAATCTTTTTGTAGAATCTGCGATTGGAGATTTGGACTGCTTTGAGGCCAACTGTAGTAAAGGAAATAACTTCATCTAAAAACCTAACGGAAGCATTCACAGACAATTCTTAGTGATCATTGCATTGAACTAACAGAGCTGAACATTCCTTTAGATGGAGCAGTTTCCAAACCCACTTTCTGTAGAATCTGAAAGTGGATATTTGGACTTCTCTGAGGATTTCGTTGGAAACGGGATAAACTTCCCAGAACTACACGGAAGCATTCTGAGAAACTTCTTTGTGATGTTTGCATTCAACTCACAGAGTTGAACCTTGCTTTCATAGTTCAGCTTTCAAACTCTCTTTTTGTAGAATCTACAGAAAGTGGATATTTGGACCACTTTGTGGCCTTCCTTCGAAACGGGTATATCTTCACATCAAACCTAGACAGAAGCATTCTCAGAATGTTTCCTGTGATAACTGCATTCAACTCACAGAGGTGAACAATCCTGTTGATGGAGCAGTTTTGAATCTCCCTTTGTTTGGATTCTGCAAGTGGATATGTGGAACTCTGTGAAGATTTCGTTGGAAACGGGTTCATCTTCACAGAAAAACTAAACAGGAGCATTCTCAGAAACTGCTTTGTGATGTTTGTGTTCCACTTCAAGAATTGAACTTTCCTCTTGACAGAGCAGCTCTGAAACCCTCTTATTCTAGAATCTGCAAGTGGACATTTGGAGGGCTTTGAGGCCTGTGGTGGAAAAGGAAAATCTTCACATAAAAACTAGATGGAAGCATTCTCAGAAACTACTTTGTGATGATTGCATTCGACTCACAGAGTTGAACATTCCTATAGATAGAGCAGGTTGTAAACAATCTTTTTGTAGAATCTGCGATTGGAGATTTGGACTGCTTTGAGGCCTACTGTAGTAAAGGAAATAACTTCATCTAAAAACCAAACGGAAGCATTCACAGACAATTCTTAGTGATCATTGGATTGAACTAAGAGAGCTGAACATTCCTTTAGATGGAGCAGTTTCCAAACCCACTTTCTGTAGAATCTGCAAGTGGATATTTGGACTTCTCTGAGGATTTCGTTGGAAACGGGATAAACTTCCCAGAACTACACGGAAGCATTGTGAGAAACTTCTCTGTGATGTTAGCATTCAACTCACAGAGTTGAACCTTGCTTTCATAGTTCAGCTTTCAAACACTCTTTTTGTGGAATCTGCAAGTGGATATTTGGACCACTTTGTGGCCTTCCTTCGAAACGGGTATATCTTCACATCAAACCTAGACAGAAGCATTCTCAGAATGTTTCCTGTGATGACTGCATTCAACTCACAGAGGTTAACAATCCTGCTGATGGAGCAGTTTTGAAACTCTCTTTCTTTGGATTCTGCAAGTGGATATGTGGACCTCTGTGAAGATTTCGTTGGAAACGGGTTCATCTTCACAGAAAAACTAAACAGGAGCATTCTCAGAAACTGCTTTGTGATGTTTGTGTTCCACATCAAGAATTGAACTTTCCTCTTGACAGAGCAGCTCTGAAACCCTCTTTTTCTAGAATCTGCAAGTGGACATTTGGAGGGCTTTGAGGCCTGTGGTGCAAAAGGAAAATCTTCACATAAAAACTAGATGGAAGCATTCTCAGAAACTACTTTGTGATGATTGCATTCGACTCACAGAGTTGAACATTCCTATAGATAGAGCAGGTTGTAAACAATCTTTTTGTAGAATCTGCGATTGGAGATTTGGACTGCTTTGAGGCCTACTGTAGTAAAGGAAATAACTTCATCTAAAAACCAAACGGAAGCATTCACAGACAATTCTTAGTGATCATTGGATTGAACTAACAGAGCTGAACATTCCTTTAGATGGAGCAGTTTCCAAACACACTGTCTGTAGAATCTGCAAGTGGATATTTGGACCTCTCTGAGGATTTCGTTGGAAACGGGATAAACTTCCCAGAACTACACGGAAGCATTCTGAGAAACTTCTTTGTGATATTTGCATTCAACTCACAGAGTTAAACCTTGCTTTCATAGTTCAGCTTTCAAACACTCTTTTTGTAGAATCTGCAAGTGGATATTTGGACCACTTTGTGGCCTTCCTTCAAAACGGGTATATCTTCACATCAAACCTAGACAGAAGCATTCTCAGAATGTTTCCTGTGATGACTGCATTCAACTCACAGAGGTGAACAATCCTGCTGATGGAGCAGTTTTGAAACTCTCTTTCTTTGGATTCTGCAAGTGGATATTTGGACCTCTGTGAAGATTTCGTTGGAAACGGGTTCATCTTCACAGAAAACTAAACAGAAGCATTCTCAGAAACTGCTTTGTGATGTTTGTGTTCCACTTCAAGAATTGAACTTTCCTCTTGACAGAGCAGCTCTGAAACCGTCTTTTTCTAGAGTCTGCAAGTGGACATTTGGAGGGCTTTGAGGCCTGTGGTGGAAAAGGAAAATCTTCACATAAAAACTAGATGGAAGCATTCTCAGAAACTACTTTGTGATGATTGCATTCGACTCACAGAGTTGAACATTCCTATAGATAGAGCAGGTTGTAAACAAATTTTTGTAGAATCTGCGATTGGAGATTTGGACTGCTTTGAGGCCTACTGTAGTAAAGGAAATAACTTCATCTAAAAACCAAACAGAAGCATTCACAGACAATTCTTAGTTATCATTGGATTGAACTAACAGAGCTGAACATTCCTTTAGATGGAGCAGTTTCCAAACCCACTTTCTGTAGAATCTGCAAGTGGATATTTGAACTTCTCTGAGGATTTCGTTGGAAACGGGATAAACTTCCCAGAACTACACGGAAGCATTGTGAGAAACTTCTTTGTGATGTTTGCATTCAACTCACAGAGTTGAACCTTGCTTTCATAGTTCAGCTTTCAAACACTCTTTTTGTAGAATCTGCAAGTGGATATTTGGACCACTTTGTGGCCTTCCTTCGAAACGGGTATATCTTCACATCAAACCTAGACAGAAGCATTCTCAGAATGTTTCCTGTGATGACTGCATTCAACTCACAGAGGTGAACAATCCTGTTGATGGAGCAGTTTTGAAACTCTCTTTCTTTGGATTCTGCAAGTGGATATGTGGACCTCTGTGAAGATTTCGTTGGAAACGGGTTCATCTTCACAGAAAAACTAAACAGAAGCATTCTCAGAAACTGCTTTGTGATGTTTGTGTTCCACTTCAAGAATTGAACTTTCCTCTTGACAGAGCAGCTCTGAAACCCTCTTTTTCTAGAATCTGCAAGTGGACATTTGGAGGGCTTTGAGGCCTGTGGTGGAAAAGGAAAATCTTCACATAAAAACCAGATGGAAGCATTCTCAGAAACTACTTTGTGATGATGGCTTTCGACTCACAGAGTTGAACATTCCTATAGATAGAGCAGGTTGTAAACAATCTTTTTGTAGAATCTGCGATTGGAGATTTGGACTGCTTTGAGGCCTACTGTAGTAAAGGAAATAACTTCATCTAAAAACCAAACGGAAGCATTCACAGACAATTCTTAGTGATCATTGCATTGAACTAACAGAGCTGAACATTCCTTTAGATGGCGCAGTTTCCAAACACACTTTCTGTAGAATCTGCAAGTGGATATTTGGACCTCTCTGAGGATTTCGTTGGAAACGGGATAAACTTCCCAGAACTACACGGAAGCATTGTGAGAAACTTCTTTGTGATGTTTGCATTCAACTCACAGAGTTGAACCTTGCTTTCATAGTTCAGCTTTCAAACACTCTTTTTGTAGAATCTGCAAGTGGATATTTGGACCACTTTGTGGCCTTCCTTCGAAACGGGTATATCTTCACATCAAACCTAGACAGAAGCATTCTCAGAATGTTTCCTGTGATGACTGCATTCAACTCACAGAGGTGAACAATCCTGCTGATGGAGCAGTTTTGAAACTCTCTTTCTTTGGATTCTGCAAGTGGATATGTGGACCTCTGTGAAGATTTCGTTGGAAACGGGTTCATCTTCACAGAAAAACTAAACAGAAGCATTCTCAGAAACTGCTTTGTGATGTTTGTGTTCCACTTCAGGAATTGAACTTTCCTCTTGACAGAGCAGCTCTAAAACCCTCTTATTCTAGAATCTGCAAGTGGACATTTGGAGGGCTTTGAGGCCTGTGGTGGAAAAGGAAAATCTTCACATAAAAACTAGATGGAAGCATTCTCAGAAACTACTTTGTGATGATTGTATTCGACTCACAGAGTTGAACATTCCTATAGATAGAGCAGGTTGAAAACAATCTTTTTGTGGAATCTGCGATTGGAGATTTGGACTGCTTTGAGGCCTACTGTAGTAAAGGAAATAACTTCATCTAAAAACCAAACGGAAGCATTCACAGACAATTCTTAGTGATCATTGGATTGAACTAACAGAGCTGAACATTCCTTTAGATGGCGCAGATTCCAAACACACTTTCTGTAGAATCTGCAAGTGGATATTTGGACCTCTCTGAGGATTTCGTTGGAAACGGGATAAACTTCCCAGAACTACACGGAAGCATTCTGAGAAACTTCTTTGTGATGTTTGCATTCAACTCACAGAGTTGAACCTTGCTTTCATAGTTCAGCTTTCAAACACTCTTTTTGTAGAATCTGCAAGTGGATATTTGGACCACTTTCTGGCCTTCCTTCGAAACGGGTATATCTTCACATCAAACCTAGACAGAAGCATTCTCAGAATGTTTCCTGTGATGACTGCATTCAACTCACAGAGGTGAACAATCCTGCTGATGGAGCAGTTTTGAAACTCTCTTTCTTTGGATTCTGCAAGTGGATATGTGGACCTCTGTGAAGATTTCGTTGGAAACGGGTTCATCTTCACAGAAAAACTAAACAGAAACATTCTCAGAAACTGCTTTGTGATGTTTGTGTTCCACTTCAGGAATTGAACTTTCCTCTTGACAGAGCAGCTCTGAAACCCTCTTATTCTAGAATCTGCAAGTGGACATTTGGAGGGCTTTGAGGCCTGTGGTGGAAAAGGAAAATCTTCACATAAAAACTAGATGGAAGCATTCTCAGAAACTACTTTGTGATGATTGCATTCGACTCACAGAGTTGAACATTCCTATAGATAGAGCAGGTTGTAAACAATCTTTTTGTAGAATCTGCGATTGGAGATTTGGACTGCTTTGAGGCCTACTGTAGTAAAGGAAATAACTTCATCTAAAAACCAAACGGAAGCATTCACAGACAATTCTTAGTGATCATTGCATTGAACTAACAGAGCTGAACATTCCTTTAGATGGCGCAGTTTCCAAACACACTTTATGTAGAATCTGCAAGTGGATATTTGGACTTCTCTGAGGATTTCGTTGGAAACGGGATAAACTTCCCAAAACTACACGGAAGCATTCTGAGAAACTTCTTTGTGATGTTTGCATTCAACTCACAGAGTTGAACCTTGCTTTCATAGTTCAGCTTTCAAACACTCTTTTTGTAGAATCTGCAAGTGGATATTTGGACCACTTTGTGGCCTTCCTTCGAAACGGGTATATCTTCACATCAAACCTAGACAGAAGCATTCTCAGAATGTTTCCTGTGATGACTGCATTCAACTCACAAAGGTGAACAATCCTGCTGATGGAGCAGTTTTGAAACTCTCTTTCTTTGGATTCTGCAAGTGGATATGTGGACCTCTGTGAAGATTTCGTTGGAAACGGGTTCATCTTCACAGAAAAACTAAACAGAAGCATTCTCAGAAACTGCTTTGTGATGTTTGTGTTCCACTTCAAGAATTGAACTTTCCTCTTGACAGAGCAGCTCTGAAACCCTCTTTTTCTAGAATCTGCAAGTGGACATTTGGAGGGCTTTGAGGCCTGTGGTGGAAAAGGAAAATCTTCACATAAAAACTAGATGGAAGCATTCTCAGAAACTACTTTGTGATGATTGCATTCGACTCACAGAGTTGAACATTCCTATACATAGAGCAGGTTGTAAACAATCTTTTTGTAGAATCTGCGATTGGAGATTTGGACTGCTTTGAGGCCTACTGTAGTAAAGGAAATAACTTCATCTAAAAACCAAACGGAAGCATTCACAGACAATTCTTAGTGATCATTGGATTGAACTAACAGAGCTGAACATTCCTTTAGGTGGAGCAGTTTCCAAACACACTTTCTGTAGAATCTGCAAGAGGATATTTGGACTTCTCTGAGGATTTCGTTGGAAACGGGATAAACTTCCCAGAACTACAGGGAAGCATTCTGAGAAACTTCTTTGTGATGTTTGCATTCAACTCACAGAGTTGAACCTTGCTTTCATAGTTCAGCTTTCAAACACTCTTTTTGTAGAATCTGCAAGTGGATATTTGGACCACTTTGTGGCCTTCCTTCGAAACGGGTATATCTTCACATCAAACCTAGACAGAAGCATTCTCAGAATGTTTCCTGTGATGACTGCATTCAACTCACAGAGGTGAACAATCCTGTTGATGGAGCAGTTTTGAAACTCTCTTTCTTTGGATTCTGCAAGTGGATATGTGGACCTCTGTGAAGATTTCGTTGGAAACGGGTTCAACTGCACAGGAAAACTAAACAGGAGCATTCTCAGAAACTGCTTTGTTATGTTTGTGTTCCACTTCAAGAATTGAACTTTCCTGTTGACAGAGCAGCTCTGAAACCCTCTTTTTCTAGAATCTGCAAGTGGACATATGGAGGGTTTGAGGCCTGTGGTGGAAAAGGAAAATCTTCACATAAAAACTAGATGGAAGCATTCTCAGAAACTATTTTGTGATTATTGCATTCGACTCACAGAGTTGAACATTCCTATAGATAGAGCAGGTTGTAAACAATCTTTTTGTAGAATCTGCGATTGGAGATTTGGACTGCTTTGAGGCCTACTGTAGTAAAGGAAATAACTTCATCTAAAAACCAAACGGAAGCATTCACAGACAATTCTTAGTGATCATTGGATTGAACTAACAGAGCTGAACATTCCTTTAGATGGAGTAGTTTCCAAACCCACTTTCTGTAGAATCTGCAAGTGGATATTTGGACTTCTCTGAGGATTTCGTTGGAAACGGGATAAACTTCCCAGAACTACACGGAAGTATTCTGAGAAACTTCTTTGTGATGGTTGCATTCAACTCACAGAGTTGAACCTTGCTTTCATAGTTCAGCTTTCAAACACTCTTTTTGTAGAATCTGCAAGTGGATATTTGGACCACTTTGTGGCCTTCCTTCGAAACGGGTATATCTTCACATCAAACCTTGACAGAAGCATTCTCAGAATGTTTCCTGTGATGACTGCATTCAACTCACAGAGGTGAACAATCCTGCTGATGGAGCAGTTTTGAAACTCTCTTTCTTTGGATTCTGCAAGTGGATATGTGGACCGCTGTGAAGATTTCGTTGGAAACGGGTTCATCTTCAGAGAAAAACTAAACAGAAGCATTCTCAGAAACTGCTTTGTGACGTTTGTGTTCCACTTCAGGAATTGAACTTTCCTCTTGACAGAGCAGCTCTGAAACCCTCTTATTCTACAATCTGCAAGTGGACATTTGGAGGGCTTTGAGGCCTGTGGTGGAAAAGGAAAATCTTCACATAAAAACTAGACGGAAGCATTCTCAGAAACTACTTTGTGATGATTGCATTTGACTCACAGAGTTGAACATTCCTATAGATAGAGCAGGTTGTAAACAATCTTTTTCTAGAATCTGCGATTGGAGATTTGGACTGCTTTGAGGCCTACTGTAGTAAAGGAAATAACTGCATCTAAAAACCAAACGGAAGCATTCACAGACAATTCTTAGTGATCATTGCATTGAACTAACAGAGCTGAACATTGCTTTAGATGGCGCAGTTTCCAAACACACTTTCTGTAGAATCTGCAATTGGATATTTGGACCTCTCTGAGGATTTCGTTGGAAACGGGATAAACTTCCCAGAACTACACGGAAGCATTGTGAGAAACTTCTTTGTGATGTTTGCATTCAACTCACAGAGTTGAACCTTGCTTTCATAGTTCAGCTTTCAAACACTCTTTTTGTAGAATCTGCAAGTGGATATTTGGACCACTTTGTGGCCTTCCTTTGAAAAGGGTATATCTTCACATCAAACCTAGACAGAAGGATTCTCAGAATGTTTCCTGTGATGACTGCATTCAACTCACAGAGGTGAACAATCCTGCTGATGGAGCAGTTTTGAAACTCTCTTTCTTTGGATTCTGCAAGTGGATATGTGGACCTCTGTGAAGATTTCGTTGGAAACGGGTTCATCTTCACAGAAAAACTAAACAGAAGCATTCTCAGAAACTGCTTTGTGATGTTTGTGTTCCACTTCAAGAATTGAACTTTCCTCTTGACAGAGCAGCTCTGAAACCCTCTTTTTCTAGAATCTGCAAGTGGACATTTGGAGGGCTTTGAGGCCTGTGGTGGAAAAGGAAAATCTTCACATAAAAACTAGATGGAAGCATTCTCAGAAACTACTTTGTGATGATTGCATTCGACTCACAGAGTTGAACATTCCTATAGATAGAGCAGGTTGTAAACAATCTTTTTGTAGAATCTGCGATTGGAGATTTGGACTGCTTTGAGGCCTACTGTAGTAAAGGAAATAACTTCATCTAAAAACCAAACGGAAGCATTCACAGACAATTCTTAGTGATCATTGGATTGAACTAACAGAGCTGAACATTCCTTTAGATAGAGCAGTTTCCAAACACACTTTCTGTAGAATCTGCAAGTGGATATTTGGACTTCTCTGAGGATTTCGTTGGAAACGGGATAAACTTCACAGAACTACACGGAAGCATTGTGAGAAACTTCTTTGTGATGTTTGCATTCAACTCACAGAGTTGAACCTTGCTTTCATAGTTCAGCTTTCAAACACTCTTTTTGTAGAATCTGCAAGTGGATATTTGGACCACTTTGTGGCCTTCCTTTGAAAAGGGTATATCTTCACATCAAACCTAGACAGAAGCATTCTCAGAATGTTTCCTGTGATGACTGCATTCAACTCACAGAGGTGAACAATCCTGTTGATGGAGCAGTTTTGAAACTCTCTTTCTTTGGATTCTGCAAGTGGATATGTGGACCTCTGTGAAGATTTCGTTGGAAACGGGTTCATCTTCACAGAAAAACTAAACAGGAGCATTCTCAGAAACTGCTTTGTGATGTTTGTGTTCCACTTCAAGAATTGAACTTTCCTCTTGACAGAACAGCTCTGAAACCCTCTTTTTCTAGAATCTGCAAGTGGACATTTGGAGGGCTTTGAGGCCTGTGGTGGAAAAGGAAATATCTTCACATAAAACCTAGATAGAAGCATTCTCAGAAACTACTTTGTGATGATTGCATTCGACTCACAGAGTTGAACATTCCTATAGATAGAGCAGGTTGTAAACAATCTTTTTGTAGAATCTGCGATTGGAGATTTGGACTGCTTTGAGGCCTACTGTAGTAAAGGAAATAACTTCATCTAAAAACCAAACGGAAGCATTCACAGACAATTCTTAGTGATCATTGGATTGAACTAACAGAGCTGAACATTCCTTTAGATGGCGCAGTTTCCAAACACACTTTCTGTAGAATCTGCAAGTGGATATTTGGACCTCTCTGAGGATTTCGTTGGAAACGGGATAAACTTCCCAGAACTACACGGAAGCATTCTGAGAAACTTCTTTGTGATGTTTGCATTCAACTCACAGAGTTGAACCTTGCTTTCATAGTTCAGCTTTCAAACACTCTTTTTGTAGAATCTGCAAGTGGATATTTGGACCACTTTGTGGCCTTCCTCGAAACGGGTATATCTTCACATCAAACCTAGACAGAAGCATTCTCAGAATGTTTCCTGTGATGACTGCATTCAACTCACAGAGGTTAACAATCCTGCTGATGGAGCAGTTTTGAAACTCTCTTTCTTTCGATTCTGCAAGTGGATATGTGGACCTCTGTGAAGATTTCGTTGGAAACGGGTTCATCTTCACAGAAAAACTAAACAGGAGCATTCTCAGAAACTGCTTTGTGATGTTTGTGTTCCACTTCAAGAATTGAACTTTCCTCTTGACAGAGCAGCTCTGAAACCCTCTTATTCTAGAATCTGCAAGTGGACATTTGGAGGGCTTTGAGGCCTGTGGTGGAAAAGGAAAATCTTCACATAAAAGCTAGATGGAAGCATTCTCAGAAACTACTTTGTGATGAATGCATTCGACTCACAGAGTTGAACATTCCTATAGATAGAGCAGGTTGTAAACAATCTTTTTGTAGAATCTGCGATTGGAGATTTGGACTGCTTTGAGGCCTACTGTAGTAAAGGAAATAACTTCATCTAAAAACCAAACGGAAGCATTCACAGACAACTCTTAGTGATCATTGGATTGAACTAACAGAGCTGAACATTCCTTTAGATAGAGCAGTTTCCAAACCCACTTTCTGTAGCATCTGCAAGTGGATATTTGGACTTCTCTGAGGATTTCGTTGGAAACGGGATAAACTTCCCAGAACTACAGGGAAGCATTGTGAGAAACTTCTTTGTGATGTTTTCATTCAACTCACAGAGTTGAACCTTGCTTTCATAGTTCAGCTTTCAAACACTCTTTTTGTAGAATCTGCAAGTGGATATTTGGACCACTTTGTGGCCTTCCTTCGAAACGGGTATATCTTCACATCAAACCTAGACAGAAGCATTCTCAGAATGTTTTCTGTGATGACTGCATTCAACTCACAGAGGTGAACAATCCTGCTGATGGACCAGTTTTGAAACTCTCTTTCTTTGTATTCTGCAAGTGGATATGTGGACCTCTGTGAACATTTCGTTGGAAACGGGTTCATCTTCACAGAAAAACTAAGCAGGAGCATTCTCAGAAACTGCTTTGTGATGTTTGTGTTCCACTTCAGGAACTGAACTTTCCTCTTGATAGAGCAGCTCTGAAACCCTCTTTTTCTAGAATCTGCAAGTGGACATTTGGAGGGCTTTGAGGTCTGTGGTGGAAAAGGAAAATCTTCACATAAAAACTAGATGGAAGCATTCTCAGAAACTACTATGTGATGATTGCATTCCACTCACAGAGTTGAACATTCCTATAGATAGAGCAGGTTGTAAACAATCTTTTTGTAGAATCTGCGATTGGAGATTTGGACTGCTTTGAGGCCTACTGTAGTAAAGGAAATAACTTCATCTAAAAACCAAACGGAAGCATTCACAGACAATTCTTAGTGATCATTGGATTGAACTAACAGAGCTGAACATTCCTTTAGATGGAGCAGTTTCCAAACACACTTTCTGTAGAATCTGCAAGTGGATATTTGGACCTCTCTGAGGATTTCGTTGGAAACGGGCTAAATTTCCCAGAACTACACGGAAGCATTCTGAGAAACTTCTTTGTGATGTTTGCATTCAACTCACAGAGTTGAACCTTGCTTTCATAGTTCAGCTTTCAAACACTCTTTTTGTAGAATCTGCAAGTGGATATTTGGACCACTTTGTGGCCTTCCTTCGAAACGGGTATATCTTCACATCAAACCTAGACAGAAGCATTCTCAGAATGTTTCCTGTGATGACTGCATTCAACTCACAGAGGTGAACAATCCTGTTGATGGAGCAGTTTTGAAACTCTCTTTCTTTGGATTCTGCAAGTTGATATGTGGACCTCTGTGAAGATTTCGTTGGAAACGGGTTCATCTTCACAGAAAAACTAAACAGAAGCATTCTCAGAAACTGCTTTGTGATGTTTGTGTTCCACTTCAGGAATTGAACTTTCCTCTTGACAGAGCAGCTCTGAAACCCTCTTTTTCTAGAATCTGCAAGTGGACATTTGGAGGGCTTTGAGGCCTGTGGTGGAAAAGGAAAATCTTCACATAAAAACTAGATGGAAGCATTCTCAGAAACTACTTTGTGATGACTGCATTCGACTCACAGAGTTGAACATTCCTATAGATAGAGCAGGTTGTAAACAATCTTTTTGTAGAGTCTGCGATTGGAGATTTGGACTGCTTTGAGGCCTACTGTAGTAAAGGAAATAACTTCATCTAAAAACCAAACGGAAGCATTCACAGACAATCCTTAGTGATCACTGGAGTGAACTAACAGAGCTGAACATTCCTTTAGATGGAGCAGTTTCCAAACACACTTTCTGTAGAATCTGCAACTGGATATTTGGACTTCTCTGAGGATTTCGTTGGAAACGGGATAAACTTCCCAGAACAACACGGAAGCATTCTGAGAAACTTCTTTGTGATGTTTGCATTCAACTCACAGAGTTGAACCTTGCTTTCATAGTTCAGCTTTCAAACACTCTTTTTGTAGAATCTGCAAGTGGATATTTGGACCACTTTGTGGCCTTCCTTCGAAACGGGTATATCTTCACATCAAACCTAGACAGAAGCATTCTCAGAATGTTTCCTGTGATGACTGCATTCAACTCACAGAGGTGAACAATCCTGCTGATGGAGCAGTTTTGAAACTCTCTTTCTTTGGATTCTGCAAGTGGATATGTGGACCTCTGTGAAGATTTCGTTGGAAACGTGTTCATCTTCACAGAAAAACTAAACAGGAAGCATTCTCAGAAACTGCTTTGTGATGTTTGTGTTCCACTTCAGGAATTGAACTTTCCTCTTGACAGAGCAGCTCTGAAATCCTCTTATTCTAGAATCTGCAAGTGGACATTTGGAGGGCTTTGAGGCCTGTGGTGGAAAAGGAAAATCTTCACATAAAAACTAGATGGAGCATTCTCAGAAACTACTTTGTGATGATTGCATTCGACTCACAGAGTTGAACATTCCTATAGATAGAGCAGGTTGTAAACAATCTTTTTGTAGAATCTGCGATTGGAGATTTGGACTGCTTTGAGGCCTACTGTAGTAAAGGAAATAACTTCATCTAAAAACCAAACGGAAGCATTCACAGACAATTCTTAGTGATCATTGCATTGAACTAACAGAGCTGAACATTCCTTTAGATGGAGCAGTTTCCAAACACACTTTCTGTAGAATCTGCAAGTGGATATTTGGACTTCTCTGAGGATTTCGTTGGAAACGGGATAAACTTCCCAGAACTACACGGAAGCATTCTGAGAAACTTCTTTGTGATGTTTGCATTCAACTCACAGAGTTGAACCTTGCTTTCATAGTTCAGCTTTCAAACACTCTTTTTGTAGAATCTGCAAGTGGATATTTGGACCACTTTGTGGCCTTCCTTCGAAACGGGTATATCTTCACATCAAACCTAGACAGGAAGCATTCTCAGAATGTTTCCTGTGATGACTGCATTCAACTCACAGAGGTGAACAATCCTGTTGATGGAGCACTTTTGAAACTCTCTTTCTTTGGATTCTGCAAGTTGATATGTGGACCTCTGTGAAGATTTCGTTGGAAATGGGTTCATCTTCACAGAAAAACTAAACAGAAGCATTCTCAGAAACTACTTTGTGATGTTTGTGTTCCACTTCAAGAATTGAACTTTCCTCTTGACAGAGCAGCTCTGAAACCCTCTTTTTCTAGAATCTGCAAGTGGACATTTGGAGGGCTTTGAGGCCTGTGGTGGAAAAGGAAAATCTTCACATAAAAACTAGATGGAAGCATTCTCAGAAACTACTTTGTGATGATTGCATTCGACTCACAGAGTTGAACATTCCTATAGATAGAGCAGGTTGTAAACAATCTTTTTGTAGAATCTGCGATTGGAGATTTGGACTGCTTTGAGGCCTACTGTAGTAAAGGAAATAACTTCATCTAAAAACCAAACGGAAGCATTCACAGACAATTCTTAGTGATCATTGGATTGAACTAACAGAGCTGAACATTCCTTTAGATGGAGCAGTTTCCAAACCCACTTTCTGTAGAATCTGCAAGTGGATATTTGGACTTCTCTGAGGATTTCGTTGGAAACGGGATAAACTTCCCAGAACTACACGGAAGCATTGTGAGAAACTTCTCTGTGATGTTTGCATTCAACTCACAGAGTTGAACCTTGCTTTCATAGTTCAGCTTTCAAACACTCTTTTTGTAGAATCTGCATGTGGATATTTGGACCACTTTGTGGCCTTCCTTCGAAACGAGTATATCTTCACATCAAACCTACACAGAAGCATTCTCAGAATGTTTCCTATGATGACTGCATTCAACTCACAGAGGTGAACAATCCTGTTTATGGAGCACTTTTGAAACTCTCTTTCTTTGGATTCTGCAAGTAGATATGTGGAACTCTGTGAAGATTTCGTTGGAAACGGGTTCATCTTCACAGAAAAACTAAACAGAAGCATTCTCAGAAACTACTTTGTGATGTTTGTGTTCCACTTCAAGAATTGAACTTTCCTCTTTACAGAGCAGCTCTGAACCCTCTTTTTCTAGAATCTGCAAGTGGACATTTGGAGGGCTTTGAGGCCTGTGGTGGAAAAGGAAAATCTTCACATAAAAACTAGATGGAAGCATTCTCAGAAACTACTTTGTGATGATTGCATTCGACTCACAGAGTTGAACATTCCTATAGATAGAGCAGGTTGTAAACAATCTTTTTGTAGAATCTGCGATTGGAGATTTGGACTGCTTTGAGGCCTACTGTAGTAAAGGAAATAACTTCATCTAAAAACCAAACGGAAGCATTCACAGACAATTCTTAGTGATCATTGCATTGAACTAACAGAGCTGAACATTCCTTTAGATGGCGCAGTTTCCAAACACACTTTCTGTAGAATCTGCAAGTGGATATTTGGACTTCTCTGAGGATTTCGTTGGAAACGGGATAAACTTCCCAGAACTACACGGAAGTATTCTGAGAAACTTCTTTGTGATGTTTGCATTCAACTCACAGAGTTGAACCTTGCTTTCATAGTTCAGCTTTCAAACACTCTTTTTGTACAATCTGCAAGTGGATATTTGGACCACTTTGTGGCCTTCCTTCGAAACGGGTATATCTTCACATCAAACCTAGACAGAAGCATTCTCAGAATGTTTCCTGTGATGACTGCATTCAACTCACAGAGGTGAACAATCCTGCTGATGGAGCAGTTTTGAAACTCTCATTCTTTGCATTCTGCAAGTGGATATGTGGACCTCTGTGAACATTTCGTTGGAAACGGGTTCATCTTCACAGAAAAACTAAACAGGAGCATTCTCAGAAACTGCTTTGTGATGTTTGTGTTCCACTTCAAGAATTGAACTTTCCTCTTGACAGAGCAGCTCTGAAACCCTCTTTTTCTAGAATCTGCAAGTGGACATTTGGAGGGCTTTGAGGCCTGTGGTGGAAAAGGAAAATCTTCACATAAAAACTAGATGGAAGCATTCTCAGAAACTACTTTGTGATGATTGCATTCGACTCACAGAGTTGAACATTCCTATAGATAGAGCAGGTTGTAAACAATCTTTTTGTAGAATCTGCGATTGGAGATTTGGACTGCTTTGAGGCCTACTGTAGTAAAGGAAATAACTTCATCTAAAAATCAAACGGAAGCATTCACAGACAATTCTTAGTGATCATTGCATTGAACTAACAGAGCTGAACATTCCTTTAGATGGCGCAGTTTCCAAACACACTTTCTGTAGAATCTGCAAGTGGATATTTGGACTTCTCTGAGGATTTCGTTGGAAACGGGATAAACTTCCCAGAACTACACGGAAGCATTGTGAGAAACTTCTTTGTGATGTTTGCATTCAACTCACAGAGTTGAACCTTGCTTTGATAGTTCAGCTTTCAAACACTCTTTTTGTAGAATCTGCAAGTGGATATTTGGACCACTTTGTGGCCTTCCTTCGAAAAGGCTATATCTTCACATCAAACCTAGACAGAAGCATTCTCAGAATGTTTCCTGTGATGACTGCATTCAACTCACAGAGGTGAACAATCCTGCTGATGGAGCAGTTTTGAAACTCTCTTTCTTTGGATTCTGCAAGTGGATATGTGGACCTCTGTGAAGATTTCGTTGGAAACGGGTTCATTTTCACAGAAAAACTAAACAGGAACATTCTCAGAAACTGCTTTGTGATGTTTGTGTTCCACTTCAGGAATTGAACTTTCCTCTTGACAGAGCAGCTCTGAAACCCTCTTATTCTAGAATCTGCAAGTGGACATTTGGAAGGCTTTGAGGCCTGTGGTGGAAAAGGAAAATCTTCACAGAAAAACTAGATGGAAGCATTCTCAGAAACTACTTTGTGATGATTGCATTCGACTCACAGAGTTGAACATTCCTATAGATAGAGCAGGTTGTAAACAATCTTTTTGTAGAATCTGCGATTGGAGATTTGGACTGCTTTGAGGCCTACTGTAGTAAAGGAAATAACTTCATCTAAAAACCAAACGGAAGCATTCACAGACAATTCTTAGTGATCATTGCATTGAACTAACAGAGCTGAACATTCCTTTAGATGGCGCAGTTTCCAAACACACTTTCTGTAGAATCTGCAAGTGGATATTTGGACCTCTCTGAGGATTTCGTTGGAAACGGGATAAACTTCCCAGAACTACACGGAAGGATTCTGAGAAACTTCTTTGTGATGTTTGCATTCAACTCACAGAGTTGAACCTTGCTTTCATAGTTCAGCTTTCAAACACTCTTTTTGTAGAATCTGCAAGTGGATATTTGGACCACTTTGTGGCCTTCCTTCGAAACGGGTATATCTTCACATCAAACCTAGACAGAAGCATTCTCAGAATGTTTCCTGTGATGACTGCATTCAACTCACAGAGGTGAACAATCCTGCTGATGGAGCAGTTTTGAAACTCTCTTTCTTTGGATTCTGCAAGTGGATATGTGGACCTCTGTGAAGATTTCGTTGGAAACGGGTTCATCTTCACAGAAAAACTAAACAGAAGCATTCTCAGAAACTGCTTTGTGATGTTTGTGTTCCACTTCAGGAATTGAACTTTCCTCTTGACAGAGCAGCTCTGAAACCCTCTTATTCTAGAATCTGCAAGTGGACATTTGGAGGGCTTTGAGGCCTGTGGTGGAAAAGGAAAATCTTCACATAAAAACTAGATGGAAGCATTCTCAGAAACTACTTTGTGATGATTGCATTCGACTCACAGAGTTGAACATTCCTATAGATAGAGCAGGTTGTAAACAATCTTTTTGTAGAATCTGCGATTGGAGATTTGGACTGCTTTGAGGCCTACTGTAGTAAAGGAAATAACTTCATCTAAAAACCAAACGGAAGCATTCACAGACAATTCTTAATGATCATTGGATTGAACTAACAGAGGTGAACATTCCTTTAGATGGAGCAGTTTCCAAACACACTTTCTGTAGAATCTGCAAGTGGATATTTGGACTTCTCTGAGGATTTCGTTGGAAACGGGATAAACTTCCCAGAACTACACGGAAGCATTCTGAGAAACTTCTTTGTGATGTTTGCATTCAACTCACAGAGTTGAACCTTGCTTTCATAGTTCAGCTTTCAAACACTCTTTTTGTAGAATCTGCAAGTGGATATTTGGACACTTTGTGTCCTTCCTTCGAAACGGGTATATCTTCACATCAAACCTAGACAGAAGCATTCTCAGAATGTTTTCCTGTGATGACTGCATTCAACTCACAGAGGTGAACAATCCTGCTGATGGAGCAGTTTTGAAACTCTCTTTCTTTGGATTCTGCAAGTGGATATGTGGACCTCTGTGAAGATTTCGTTGGAAACGGGTTCATCTTCACAGAAAAACTAAACAGGAAGCATTCTCAGAAACTGCTTTGTGATGTTTGTGTTCCACTTCAGGAATTGAACTTTCCTCTTCACAGAGCAGCTCTGAAACCCTCTTATTCTAGAATCTGCAAGTGGACATTTGGAGGGCTTTGAGGCCTGTGGTGGAAAAGGAAAATCTTCACATAAAAACTAGATGGAAGCATTCTCAGAAACTACTTTGTGATGATTGCATTCGACTCACAGAGTTGAACATTCCTATAGATAGAGCAGGTTGTAAACAATCTTTTTGTAGAATCTGCGATTGGAGATTTGGACTGCTTTGAGGCCTACTGTAGTAAAGGAAATAACTTCATCTAAAAACCAAACGGAAGCATTCACAGACAATTCTTAGTGATCATTGGATTGAACTAACAGAGCTGAACATTCCTTTAGATGGAGCAGTTTCCAAACACACTTTCTGTAGAATCTGCAAGTGGATATTTGGACCTCTCTGAGGATTTCGTTGGAAACGGGATAAACTTCCCAGAACTACACGGAAGCATTGTGAGAAACTTCTTTGTGATGTTTGCATTCAACTCACAGAGTTGAACCTTGCTTTCATAGTTCAGCTTTCAAACACTCTTTTTGTAGAATCTGCAAGTGGATATTTGGACCACTTTGTGGCCTTCCTTTGAAACGGGTATATCTTTACATCAAACCTAGACAGAAGCATTCTCAGAATGTTTCCTGTGATGACTGCATTCAACTCACAGAGGTGAACAATCCTGCTGATGGAGCAGTTTTGAAACTCTCTTTCTTTGGATTCTGCAAGTAGATATGTGGACCTCTGTGAAGATTTCGTTGGAAACGGGTTCATCTTCACAGAAAAACTAAACAGAAGCAGTCTCAGAAACTACTTTGTGATGTTTGTGTTCAACTTGCAGAGTTGAACTTTCCTCTTGACAGAGCATCTATGAAACATTGCTTTTCTTGAATCTGCAAGTGGACATTTGGAGGGCTTTGAGGCCTGTGGCGGAAACGTAAATATCTGCAGATAAAAACTAGATAGAAGCATTCTCAGAAACTACTTTGTGATGATTGCATTTGACTCACAGAGTTGAACATTCCTATAGATAGAGCAGGTTGTAAACAATCTTTTTGTAGAATCTGCGATTGGAGATTTGGACTGCTTTGAGGCCTACTGTAGTAAAGGAAATAACTTCATCTAAAAACCAAACGGAAGCATTCACAGACAATTCTTAGTGATCATTGGATTGAACTAACAGAGCTGAACATTCCTTTAGATGGAGCAGTTTCCAAACACACTTTCTGTAGAATCTGCAAGTGGATATTTGGACTTCTCTGAGGATTTCGTTGGAAACGGGATAAACTTCCCAGAACTACACGGAAGCATTCTGAGCAAACTTCTTTGTGATGTTTGCATTCAACTCACAAAGTTGAACCTTGCTTTCATAGTTCAGCTTTCAAACACTCTTTTTGTAGAATCTGCAAGTGGATATTTGGACCACTTTGTGGCCTTCCTTTGAAAAGGGTGTATCTTCACATCAAACCTAGACAGAAGCATTCTCAGAATGTTTCCTGTGATGACTGCATTCAACTCACAGAGGTGAACAATCCTGCTGATGGAGCAGTTTTGAAACTCTCTTTCTTTGGATTCTGCAAGTGGATATGTGGACCTCTGTGAAGATTTCGTTGGAAACGGGTTCATCTTCACAGAAAAACTAAACAGAAGCATTCTCAGAAACTGCTTTGTGATGTTTGTGTTCCACTTCAAGAATTGAACTTTCCTCTTGACAGAGCAGCTCTGAAACCCTCTTTTTCTAGAATCTGCAAGTGGACATTTGGAGGGCTTTGAGGCCTGTGGTGGAAAAGGAAAATCTTCACATAAAAACTAGATGGAAGCATTCTCAGAAACTACTTTGTGATGATTGCATTCGACTCACAGAGTTGAACATTCCTATAGATAGAGCAGGTTGTAAACAATCTTTTTGTAGAATCTGCGATTGGAGATTTGGACTGCTTTGAGGCCTACTGTAGTAAAGGAAATAACTTCATCTAAAAACCAAACGGAAGCATTCACAGACAATTCTTAGTGATCATTGCATTGAACTAACAGAGCTGAACATTGCTTTAGATGGCGCAGTTTCCAAACACACTTTCCGTAGAATCTGCAAGTGGATATTTGGACCTCTCTGAGGATTTCGTTGGAAACGGGATAAACTTCCCAGAACTACACGGAAGCATTGTGAGAAACTTCTTTGTGATGTTTGCATTCAACTCACAGAGTTGAACCTTGCTTTCATAGTTCAGCTTTCAAACACTCTTTTTGTAGAATCTGCAAGTGGATATTTGGACCACTTTGTGGCCTTCCTTCGAAACGGGTATATCTTCACATCAAACCTAGACAGAAGCATTCTCAGAATGTTTCCTGTGATGACTGCATTCAACTCACAGAGGTGAACAATCCTGCTGATGGAGCAGTTTTGAAACTCTCTTTCTTTGGATTCTGCAAGTGGATATGTGGACCTCTGTGAAGATTTCGTTGGAAACGGGTTCATCTTCACAGAAAAACTAAACAGGATCATTCTCAGAAACTGTTTTGTGATGTTTGTGTTCCACTTCAGGAATTGAACTTTCCTCTTGAAAGAGCAGCTCTGAAACCCTCTTTTTCTAGAATCTGCAAGTGGACATTTGGAGGGCTTTGAGGCCTGTGGTGGAAAAGGAAAATCTTCACATAAAAACTAGATGGAAGCATTCTCAGAAACTACTTTGTGATGATTGCATTCGACTCACAGAGTTGAACATTCCTATAGATAGAGCAGGTTGTAAACAATCTTTTTGTAGAATCTGCGATTGGACATTTGGAATGCTTTGAGGCCTACTGTAGTAAAGGAAATAACTTCATCTAAAAACCAAACGGACGCATTCACAGTACAATTCTTAGTGATCATTGGATTGAACTAACAGAGCTGAACATTCCTTTAGATGGAGCAGTTTCCAAACCCACTTTCTGTAGAATCTGCAAGTGGATATTTGGACTTCTCTGAGGATTTCGTTGGAAACGGGATATACTTCCCAGAACTACACGGAGCATTGTGAGAAACTTCTTTGTGATGTTTGCATTCAACTCACAGAGTTGAACCTTGCTTTCATAGTTCAGCTTTCAAACACTCCTTTTGTAGAATCTGCAAGTGGATATTTGGGCCACTTTGTGGCCTTCCTTCGAAACGGGTATATCTTCACATCAAACCTAGACAGAAGCATTCTCAGAATGTTTCCTGTGATGACTGCATTCAACTCACAGAGGTGAACAATCCTGTTGATGCAGCAGTTTTGAAACTCTCTTTCTTTGGATTCTGCAAGTTGATATGTGGACCTCTGTGAAGATTTCGTTGGAAATGGGTTCATCTTCACAGAAAAACTAAACAGAAGCATTCTCAGAAACTGCTTTGTGATGTTTGTGTTCCACTTCAAGAATTGAACTTTCCTCTTGACAGAGCAGCTCTGAAACCCTCTTTTTCTAGAATCTGCAAGTGGACATTTGGAGGGCTTTGAGGCCTGTGGTGGAAAAGGAAAATCTTCCCATAAAAACTAGATGGAAGCATTCTCAGAAACTACTTTGTGATGATTGCATTCGACTCACAGAGTTGAACATTCCTATAGATAGAGCAGGTTGTAAACAATCTTTTTGTAGAATCTGCGATTGGAGATTTGGACTGCTTTGAGGCCTTCTGTAGTAAAGGAAATAACTTCATCTAAAAACCAAACGGAAGCATTCACAGACAATTCTTAGTGATCATTGCATTGAACTAACAGAGCTGAACATTCCTTTAGATGGAGCAGTTTCCAAACCCACTTTCTGTAGAATCTGCAAGTGGATATTTGGACTTCTCTGAGGATTTCGTTGGAAACGGGATAAACTTCCCAGAACTACACGGAAGCATTGTGAGAAACTTCTTTGTGATGTTTGCATTCAACTCACAGAGTTGAACCTTGCTTTGATAGTTCAGCTTTCAAACACTCTTTTTGTAGAATCTGCAAGTGGATATTTGGACCACTTTGTGGCCTTCCTTCGAAAAGGCTATATCTTCACATCAAACCTAGACAGAAGCATTCTCAGAATGTTTCCTGTGATGACTGCATTCAACTCACAGAGGTGAACAATCCTGTTGATGGAGCAGTTTTGAAACTCTCTTTCTTTGGATTCTGCAAGTGGATATGTGGACCTCTGTGAAGATTTCGTTGGAAACGGGTTCATCTTCACAGAAAAACTAAACAGAAGCATTCTCAGAAACTGCTTTTTGATGTTTGTGTTCCACTTCAAGAATTGAACTTTCCTCTTGACAGAGCAGCTCTGAAACCCTCTTTTTCTAGAATCTGCAAGTGGACATTTGGAGGGCTTTGAGGCCTGTGGTGGAAAAGGAAAATCTTCACATAAAAACTAGATGGAAGCATTCTCAGAAACTACTTTGTGATGATTGCATTCGACTCACAGAGTTGAACATTCCTATAGATAGAGCAGGTTGTAAACAATCTTTTTGTAGAATCTGCGATTGGAGATTTGGACTGCTTTGAGGCCTACTGTAGTAAAGGAAATAACTTCATCTAAAAACCAAACGGAAGCATTCACAGACAATTCTTAGTGATCATTGGATTGAACTAACAGAGCTGAACATTCCTTTAGATGGCGCAGTTTCCATACACACTTTCTGTAGAATCTGCAAGTGGATATTTGGACCTCTCTGAGGATTTCGTTGGAAACGGGATAAATTTCCCAGAACTACACGGAAGCATTCTGAGAAACTTCTTTGTGATGTTTGCATTCAACTCACAGAGTTGAACCTTGCTTTCATAGTTCAGCTTTCAAACACTCTTTTTGTAGAATCTGCAAGTGGATATTTGGACCACTTTGTGGCCTTCCTTCGAAACGGGTATATCTTCACATCAAACCTAGACAGAAGCATTCTCAGAATGTTTCCTGGGATGACTGCATTCAACTCACAGAGGTGAACAATCCTGCTGATGGAGCAGTTTTGAAACTCTCTTTCTTTGGATTCTGCAAGTGGATATGTGGACCTCTGTGAAGATTTCGTTGGAAACGGGTTCATCTTCACAGAAAAACTAAACAGGAGCATTCTCAGAAACTGCTTTGTGATGTTTGTGTTCCACTTCAGGAATTGAACTTTCCTCTTGAAAGAGCAGCTCTGAAACCCTCTTTTTCTAGAATCTGCAAGTGGACATTTGGAGGGCTTTGAGGCCTGTGGTGGAAAAGGAAAATCTTCACATAAAAACTAGATGGAAGCATTCTCAGAAACTACTTTGTGATGATTGCATTCGACTCACAGAGTTGAACATTCCTATAGATAGAGCAGGTTGTAAACAATCTTTTTGTAGAATCTGCGATTGGAGATTTGGACTGCTTTGAGGCCTACTGTAGTAAAGGAAATAACTTCATCTAAAAACAAAACGGAAGCATTCACAGACAATTCTTAGTGATCATTGGATTGAACTAACAGAGCTGAACATTCCTTTAGATGGAGCAGTTTCCAAACACACTTTCTGTAGAAACTGCAAGTGGATATTTGGACTTCTCTGAGGATTTCGTTGGAAACGGGATAAACTTCCCAGAACTACACGGAAGCATTCTGAGAAACTTCTTGTGATGTTTGCGTTCAACTCACAGCGTTGAACCTTGCGTTCATAGTTCAGCTTTCAAACACTCTTTTTGTAGAATCTGCAAGTGGATATTTGGACCACTTTGTGGCCTTGCTTCGAAACGGGTATATCTTCATATCAAACCTAGACAGAAGCATTCTCAGAATGTTTCCTGTGATGACTGCATTCAACTCACAGAGGTGAACAATCCTGCTGATGGAGCAGTTTTGAAACTCTCTTTCTTTGGATTCTGCAAGTGGATATGTGGACCTCTGTGAAGATTTCGTTGGAAACGGGTTCATCTTCACAGAAAAACTAAACAGAAGCATTCTCAGAAACTGCTTTGTGATGTTTGTGTTCCACTTCAGGAATTGAACTTTCCTCTTGACAGAGCAGCTCTGAAACCCTCTTATTCTAGAATCTGCAAGTGGACATTTGGAGGGCTTTGAGGCCTGTGGTGGAAAAGGAAAATCTTCACATAAAAACTAGATGGAAGCATTCTCAGAAACTACTTTCTGATGATTGCATTCGACTCACAGAGTTGAACGTTCCTATAGATAGAGCAGGTTGTAAAAAATCTTTTTGTAGAATCTGCGATTGGAGATTTGGACTGCTTTGAGGCCTACTGTAGTAAAGGAAATAACTTCATCTAAAAACCAAACGGAAGCATTCACAGACAATTCTTAGTGATGATTGGATTGAACTAACAGAGCTGAACATTCCTTTAGGTGGAGCAGTTTCCAAACCCACTTTCTGTAGAATCTGCAAGTGGATATTTGGACTTCTCTGAGGATTTCGTTGGAAACGGGATAAACTTCCCAGAACTACACGGAAGTATTCTGAGAAACTTCTTTGTGATGTTTGCATTCAACTCACAGAGTTGAACCTTGCTTTCATAGTTCAGCTTTGAAACACTCTTTTTGTAGAATCTGCAAGTGGATATTTGGACCACTTTGTGGCCTTCCTTCGAAACGGGTATATCTTCACATCAAACCTAGACAGAAGCATTCTCAGAATGTTTCCTGTGATGACTGCATTCAACTCACAGAGGTGAACAATCCTGCTGATGGAGCAGTTTTGAAACTCTCTTTCTTTGGATTCTGCAAGTGGATATGTGGACCTCTGTGAAGATTTCGTTGGAAACGGGTTCATCTTCACAGAAAAACTAAACAGGAGCATTCTCAGAAACTGCTTTGTGATGTTTGTGTTCCACTTCAGGAATTGAACTTTCCTCTTGACAGAGCAGCTCTAAAACCCTCTTATTCTAGAATCTGCAAGTGGACATTTGGAGGGCTTTGAGGCCTGTGGTGGAAAAGGAAAATCTTCACATAAAAACTAGATGGAAGCATTCTCAGAAACTACTTTGTGATGATTGCATTCGACTCACAGAGTTGAACATTCCTATAGATAGAGCAGGTTGTAAACAATCTTTTTATAGAATCTGCGATTGGAGATTTGGACTGCTTTGAGGCCTACTGTAGTAAAGGAAATAACTTCATCTAAAAACCAAACGGAAGCATTCACAGACAATTCTTAGTGATCATTGGATTGAACTAACAGAGCTGAACATTCCTTTAGATTGAGCAGTTTCCAAACACACTTTCTGTAGAATCTGCAAGTGGATATTTGGACCTCTCTGAGGATTTCGTTGGAAATGGGATAAACTTCCCAGAAATACACGGACATTCGTGAGAAACTTCTTTGTGATGTTTGCATTCAACTCACAGAGTTGAACCTTGCTTTCATAGTTCAGCTTTCAAACACTCTTTTTGTAGAATCTGCAAGTGGATATTTGGACCACTTTGTGGCCTTCCTTCGAAACGGGTATATCTTCACATCAAACCTAGACAGAAGCATTCTCAGAATGTTTCCTGTGATGACTGCATTCAACTCACAGGAGGTGAACAATCCTGCTGTTGGAGCAGTTTTGAAACTCTCTTTCTTTGGATTCTGCAAGTGGATATGTGGAACTCTGTGAAGATTTCGTTGGAAACGGGTACATCTTCACAGAAAAACTAAACAGGAGCATTCTCAGAAACTGCTTTGTGATGTTTGTGTTCCACTTCAAGAATTGAACTTTCCTCTTGACAGAGCAGCTCTGAAACCCTCTTTTTCTAGAATCTGCAAGTGGACATTTGGAGGGCTTTGAGGCCTGTGGTGGAAAAGGAAAATCTTCACATAAAAACTAGATGGAAGCATTCTCAGAAACTACTTTGTGATGATTGCATTCGACTCACAGAGTTGAACATTACTATAGATAGAGCAGGTTGTAAACAATGTTTTTGTAGAATCTGCGATTGGAGATTTGGACTGCTTTGAGGCCTACTGTAGTAAAGGAAATAACTTCATCTAAAAACCAAACGGAAGCATTCACAGACAATTCTTAGTGATCATTGCATTGAACTAACAGAGCTGAACATTCCTTTAGATGGAGCAGTTTCCAAACACACTTTCTGTAGAATCTGCAAGTGGATATTTGGACCTCTCTGAGGATTTCGTTGGAAACGGGATAAACTTCCCAGAACTACACGGAAGCATTCTGAGAAACTTCTTTGTGATGTTTGCATTCAACTCACAGAGTTGAACCTTGCTTTCATAGTTCAGCTTTCAAACACTCTTTTTGTAGAATCTGCAAGTGGATATTTGGACCACTTTGTGGCCTTCCTTCGAAACGCGTATATCTTCACATCAAACCTAGACAGAAGCATTCTCAGAATGTTTCCTGTGATGACTGCATTCAACTCACAGAGGTGAACAATCCTGTTGATGGAGCAGTTTTGAAACTCTCTTTCTTTGGATTCTGCAAGTGGATATGTGGACCTCTGTGAAGATTTCGTTGGAAACGGGTTCATCTTCACAGAAAATCTAAACAGGAGCATTCTCAGAAACTGCTTTGTGATGTTTGTGTTCCACTTCAGGAATTGAACTTTCCTCTTGACAGAGCAGCTCTGAAACCCTCTTTTTCTAGAATCTGCAAGTGGACATTTGGAGGGCTTTGAGGCCTGTGGTGGAAAAGGAAACTCTTCACATAAAAACTAGATGGAAGCATTCTCAGAAACTACTTTGTGATGATTGCATTCGACTCACAGAGTTGAACATTCCTATAGGTAGAGCAGGTTGTAAACAATCTTTTTGTAGAATCTGCGATTGGAGATTTGGACTGCTTTGAGGCCTACTGTAGTAAAGGAAATAACTTCATCTAAAAACCAAACGGAAGCATTCACAGACAATTCTTAGTGATCATTGGATTGAACTAACAGAGCTGAACATTCCTTTAGATGGAGCAGTTTCCAAACACACTTTCTGTAGAATCTGCAAGTGGATATTTGGACCTCTCTGAGGATTTCGTTGGAAACGGGATAAAATTCCCAGAACTACACGGAAGTATTCTGAGAAACTTCTTTGTGATGTTTGCATTCAACTCACAGAGTTGAACCTTGCTTTCATAGTTCAGCTTTCAAACACTCTTTTTGTAGAATCTGCAAGTGGATATTTGGACCACTTTGTGGCCTTCCTTCGAAACGGGTATATCTTCACATCAAACCTAGACAGAAGCATTCTCAGAATGTTTTCCTGTGATGACTGCATTCAACTCACAGAGGTGAACAATCCTGCTGATGGAGCAGTTTTGAAACTCTCTTTCTTTGGATTCTGCAAGTGGATATGTGGACCTCTGTGAAGATTTCGTTGGAAACGGGTTCATCTTCACAGAAAAACTAAACAGGAAGCATTCTCAGAAACTGCTTTGTGATGTTTGTGTTCCACTTCAAGAATTGAACTTTCCTCTTGACAGCAGCTCTGAAACCCTCTTTTTCTAGAATCTGCAAGTGGACATTTGGAGGGCTTTGAGGCCTGTGGTGCAAAAGGAAAATCTTCACATAAAAACTAGATGGAAGCATTCTCAGAAACTTCTTTGTGATGATTGCATTCGACTCACAGAGTTGAACATTCCTATAGATAGAGCAGGTTGTAAACAATCTTTTTGTAGAATCTGCGATTGGAGATTTGGACTGCTTTGAGGCCTACTGTAGTAAAGGAAATTTACTCTCATCTAAAAACCAAACGGAAGCATTCACAGTACAATTCTTAGTGATCATTGGATTGAACTAACAGAGCTGAACATTCCTTTAGATGGAGCAGTTTCCAAACCCACTTTCTGTAGAATCTGCAAGTGGATATTTGGACCTCTCTGAGGATTTCGTTGGAAACGGGATAAACTTCCCAGAACTACACGGAAGCATGCTGAGAAACTTCTTTGTGATGTTTGCATTCAACTCACAGAGTGGAACCTTGCTTTCATAGTTCAGCTTTCAAACACTCTTTTTGTAGAATCTGCAAGTGGATATTTGGACCACTTTGTGGCCTTCCTTCGAAACGGGTATATCTTCTCATCAAACCTAGACAGAAGCATTCTCAGAATGTTTCCTGTGATGACTGCATTCAACTCACAGAGGTGAACAATCCTGCTGATGGAGCAGTTTTGAAACTCTCTTTCTTTGGATTCTGCAAGTGGATATGTGGACCTCTGTGAAGATTTCGTTGGAAACGGGTTCATCTTCACAGAAAAACTAAACAGGAGCTTTCTCAGAAACTGCTTTGTGATGTTTGTGTTCCACTTCAAGAATTGAACTTTCCTCTTGACAGAGCAGCTCTGAAACCCTCTATTTCTAGAATCTGCAAGTGGACATTTGGAGGGCTTTGATGCTTGTGGTGGAAAAGGAAAATCTTCACATAAAAACTAGATGGAAGCATTCTCAGAAACTACTTTGTGATGATTGCATTCGACTCACAGAGTTGAACATTCCTATAGATAGAACAGGTTGTAAACAATCTTTTTGTAGAATCTGCGATTGGAGATTTGGACTGCTTTGAGGCCTACTGTAGTAAAGGAAATAACTTCATCTAAAAACCAAACGGAAGCATTCACAGACAATTCTTAGTGATCATTGGATTGAACTAACAGAGCTGAACATTCCTTTAGATGGAGCAGTTTCCAAACCCACTTTCTGTAGAATCTGCAAGTGGATATTTGGACTTCTCTGAGGATTTCGTTGGAAACGGGATAAACTTCCCAGAACTACACGGAAGCATTCTGAGAAACTTCTTTGTGATGTTTGCATTCAACTCACAGAGTTGAACCTTGCTTTCATAGTTCAGCTTTCAAACACTCTTTTTGTAGAATCTGCAAGTGGATATTTGGACCACTTTGTGGCCTTCCTTCGAAACGGGTATATCTTCACATCAAACCTAGACAGAAGCATTCTCAGAATGTTTCCTGTGATGACTGCATTCAACTCACAGAGGTGAACAATCCTGTTGATGGAGCAGTTTTGAAACTCTCTTTCTTTGGATTCTGCAAGTTGATATGTGGACCTCTGTGAAGATTTCGTTGGAAACGGGTTCATCTTCACAGAAAAACTAAACAGAAGCATTCTCAGAAACTGCTTTGTGATGTTTGTGTTCCTCTTCAAGAATTGAACTTTCCTCTTGACAGAGCAGCTCTGAAAACCTCTTTTTCTAGAATCTGCAAGTGGACATTTGGAGGGCTTTGAGGCCTGTGGTGGAAAAGGAAAATCTTCACATAAAAACTAGATGGAAGCATTCTCAGGAAACTACTTTGTGATGATTGCATTCGACTCACAGAGTTGAACATTCCTATAGATAGAGCAGGTTGTAAACAATCTTTTTGTAGAATCTGCGATTGGAGATTTGGACTGCTTTGAGGCCTACTGTAGTAAAGGAAATAACTTCATCTAAAAACCAAACGGAAGCATTCACAGACAATTCTTAGTGATCATTGGATTGAACTAACAGAGCTGAACATTCCTTTAGATGGAGCAGTTTCCAAACACACTTTCTGTAGAATCTGCAAGTGGATATTTGGACCTCTCTGAGGATTTCGTTGGAAACGGGATAAACTTCCCAGAACTACACGGAAGCATTCTCAGAAACTTCTTTGTGATGTTTGCATTCAACTCACAGAGTTGAACCTTCCTTTCATAGTTCAGCATACAATCACTCTATTTGTAGAATCTGCAAGTGGATATTTGGACCACTTTGTGGCTTTCCTTCGAAACGGGTATATCTTCACATCAAACCTAGACAGAAGCATTCTTAGAATGTTTCCTGTGATGACTGCATTCAACTCACAGAGGTGAACAATCCTGTTGATGGAGCAGTTTTGAAACTCTCTTTCTTTGGATTCTGCAAGTGGATATGTGGACCTCTGTGAAGATTTCGTTGGAAACGGGTTCATCTTCACAGAAAAACTAAACAGGAGCATTCCCAGAAACTGCTTTGTGATGTTTCTGTTCCACTTCAAGAATTGAACTTTCCTCTTGACAGAGCAGCTCTGAAACCCTCTTTTTCTAGAATCTGCAAGTGGACATTTGGAGGGCTTTGAGGCCTGTGGTGGAAAAGGAAAATCTTCACATAAAAACTAGATGGAAGCATTCTCAGAAACTACTTTGTGATGATTGCATTCGACTCACAGAGTTGAACATTCCTATAGATAGAGCAGGTTGTAAACAATCTTTTTGTAGAATCTGCGATTGGAGATTTGGACTGCTTTGAGGCCTACTGTAGTAAAGGAAATAACTTCATCTAAAAACCAAACGGAAGCATTCACAGACAATTCTTAGTGATCATTGGATTGAACTAACAGAGCTGAACATTCCTTTAGATGGAGCAGTTTCCAAACACACTTTCTGTAGAATCTGCAAGTGGATATTTGGACTTCTCTGAGGATTTCGTTGGAAACGGGAAAACTTCCCAGAACTACACGGAAGCATTGTGAGAAACTTCTTTGTGATGTTTGCATTCAACTCACAGAGTTGAACCTTGCTTTCATAGTTCAGCTTTCAAACACTCTTTTTGTAGAATCTGCCAAGTGGATATTTGGACCACTTTGTGGCCTTCCTTCGAAACGGGTATATCTTCACATCAAACCTAGACAGAAGCATTCTCAGAATGTTTCCTGTGATGACTGCATTCAACTCACAGAGGTGAACAATCCTGCTGATGGAGCAGTTTTGAAACTCTCTTTCTTTGGATTCTGCAAGTGGATATGTGGACCTCTGTGAAGATTTCGTTGGAAACGGGTTCATCTTCACAGAAAAACTAAACAGAAGCATTCTCAGAAACTGCTTTGTGATGTTTTTGTTCCACTTCAAGAATTGAACTTTCCTCTTGACAGAGCAGCTCTGAAACCCTCTTTTTCTAGAATCTGCAAGTGGACATTTGGAGGGCTTTGAGGCCTGTGGTGGAAAAGGAAAATCTTCACATAAAAACTAGATGGAAGCATTCTCAGAAACTACTTTGTGATGATTGCATTCGACTCACAGAATTGAACATTCCTATAGATAGAGCAGGTTGTAAACAATCTTTTTGTAGAATCTGCGATTGGAGATTTGGACTGCTTTGAGGCCTACTTTAGTAAAGGAAATAACTTCATCTAAAAACCAAACGGAAGCATTCACAGACAATTCTTAGTGATCATTGCATTGAACTAACAGAGCTGAACATTCCTTTAGATGGCGCAGTTTCCAAACACACTTTCTGTAGAATCTGCAAGTGGATATTTGGACCTCTCTGAGGATTTCGTTGGAAACGGGATAAACTTCCCAGAACTACACGGAAGCATTCTGAGAAACTTCTTTGTGATATTTGCATTCAACTCACAGAGTTAAACCTTGCTTTCATAGTTCAGCTTTCAAACACTCTTTTTGTAGAATCTGCAAGTGGATATTGGGACCACTTTGTGGCCTTCCTTCAAAACGGGTATATCTTCACATCAAACCTAGACAGGAGCATTCTCAGAATGTTTCCTGTGATGACTGCATTCAACTCACAGAGGTGAACAATCCTGCTGATGGAGCAGTTTTGAAACTCTCTTTCTTTGGATTCTGCAAGTGGATATGTGGACCTCTGTGAAGATTTCGTTGGAAACGGGTTCATCTTCACAGAAAAACTAAACAGGAGCATTCTCAGAAACTGCTTTGTGATGTTTGTGTTCCACTTCAGGAATTGAACTTTCCTCTTGACAGAGCAGCTCTGAAACCCTCTTTATCTAGAATCTGCAAGTGGACATTTGGAGGGCTTTGAGGCCTGTGGTGGAAAAGGAAAATCTTCACATAAAAACTAGATGGAAGCATTCTCAGAAACTACTTTGTGATGATTGCATTCGACTCACAGAGTTGAACATTCCTATAAATAGAGCAGGTTTTAAACAATCTTTTTGTAGAATCTGCGATTGGAGATTTGGACTGCTTTGAGGCCTACTGTAGTAAAGGAAATAACTTCATCTAAAAACCAAACGGAAGCATTCACAGACAATTGTTAGTGATCATTGGATTGAACTAACAGAGCTGAACATTCCTTTAGATGGCGCAGTTTCCAAACACACTTTCTGTAGAATCTGCAAGTGGATATTTGGACCTCTCCTGAGGATTTCGTTGGAAACGGGATAAACTTCCCAGAACTACACGGAAGCATTGTGAGAAACTTCTTTGTGAAGTTTGCATTCAACTCACAGAGTTGAACCTTGGTTTCATAGTTCAGCTTTCAAACACTCTTTTTGTAGAATCTGCAAGTGGATATTTGGACCACTTTGTGGCCTTCCTTCGAAACGGGTATATCTTCACATCAAACCTAGACAGAAGCATTCTCAGAATGTTTCCTGTGATGACTGCATTCAACTCACAGAGGTGAACAATCCTGCTGATGGAGCAGTTTTGGAACTCTCTTTCTTTGGATTCTGCAAGTGGATATGTGGACCTCTGTGAAGATTTCGTTGGAAACGGGTTCATCTTCACAGAAAAACTAAACAGGAGAATTCTCAGAAACTGCGTTGTGATGTTTGTGTTCCACATCAAGAATTGAACTTTCCTCTTGACAGTGCAGCTCTGAAACCCTCTTTTTCTAGAATCTGCAAGTGGACATTTGGAGGGCTTTGAGGCCTGTGGTGGAAAAGGAAAATCTTCACATAAAAACTAGATGGAAGCATTCTCAGAAACTACTTTGTGATGATTGCATTCGACTCACAGAGTTGAACATTCCTATAGATAGAGCAGGTTTTAAACAATCTTTTTGTAGAATCTGCGATTGGAGATTTCGACTGCTTTGAGGCCTACTGTAGTAAAGGAAATAACTTCATCTAAAAACCAAACGGAAGCATTCACAGACAATTCTTAGTGATCATTGCATTGAACTAACAGAGCTGAACATTCCTTTAGATGGAGCAGTTTCCAAACACACTTTCTGTAGAATCTGCAAGTGGATATTTGGACTTCTCTGAGGATTTCGTTGGAAACGGGATAAACTTCCCAGAACTACACGGAAGCATTCTGAAAAACTTCTTTGTGATGTTTGCATTCAACTCACAGAGTTGAACCTTGCTTTCATTGTTCAGCTTTCAAACACTCTTTTTGTAGAATCTGCAAGTGGATATTTGGACCACTTTGTGGCCTTCCTTCGAAACGGGTATATCTTCACATCAAACCTAGACAGAAGCATTCTCAGAATGTTTCCTGTGATGACTGCATTCAACTCACAGAGGTGAACAATCCTGTTGATGGAGCAGTTTTGAAACTCTCTTTCTTTGGATTCTGCAAGTGGATATGTGGACCTCTGTGAAGATTTCGTTGGAAACGGGTTCATCTTCACAGAAAAACTAAACAGAAGCATTCTCAGAAACTGCTTTGTGATGTTTGTGTTCCACTTCAGGAATTGAACTTTCCTCTTGACAGAGCAGCTCTGAAACCCTCTTATTCTAGAATCTGCAAGTGGACATTTGGAGGGCTTTGAGGCCTGTGGTGGAAAAGGAAAATATTCACATAAAAACTAGATGGAAGCATTCTCAGAAACTACTTTGTGATGATTGCATTCGACTCACAGAGTTGAACATTCCTGTAGATAGAGCAGGTTGTAAACAATCTTTTTGTAGAATCTGCGATTGGAGATTTGGACTGCTTTGAGGCCTACTGTAGTAAAGGAAATAACTTCATCTAAAAACCAAACGGAAGCATTCACAGACAATTCTTAGTGATCATTGGATTGAACTAACAGAGCTGAACATTCCTTTAGATGGCGCAGTTTCCAAACACACTTTCTGTAGAATCTGCAAGTGGATATTTGGACCTCTCTGAGGATTTCGTTGGAAACGGGATAAACTTCCCAGAACTACACGGAAGCATTCTGAGAAACTTCTTTGTGATGGTTGCATTCAACTCACAGAGTTGAACCTTGCTTTCATAGTTCAGCTTTCAAACTCTCTTTTTGTAGAATCTGCAAGTGGATATTTGGACCAATTTGTGGCCTTCCTTCGAAACGGGTATATCTTCACATCAAACCTTGACAGAAGCATTCTCAGAATGTTTCCTGTGATGACTGCATTCAACTCACAGAGGTGAACAATCCTGCTGATGGAGCAGTTTTGAAACTCTCTTTCTTTGGATTCTGCAAGTGGATATGTGGACCTCTGTGAAGATTTCGTTGGAAACGGGTTGATCTTCACAGAAAAACTAAACAGAAGCATTCTCAGAAACTGCTTTGTGATGTTTGTGTTCCACTTCAGGAATTGAACTTTCCTCTTGACAGAGTAGCTCTGAAACCCTCTTTTTCTAGAATCTGCAAGTGAACATTTGGAGGGCTTTGAGGCCTGTGGTGGAAAAGGAAACTCTTCACATAAAAACTAGATGGAAGCATTCTCAGAAACTACTTTGTGATGATTGCATTCGACTCACAGAGTTGAACATTCCTATAGATAGAGCAGGTTGTAAACAAACTTTTTGTAGAATCTGCGATTGGAGATTTGGACTGCTTTGAGGCCTACTGTAGTAAAGGAAATAACTTCATCTAAAAACCAAACGGAAGCATTCACAGACAATTCTTAGTGATCATTGGATTGAACTAACAGAGCTGAACATTCCTTTAGATGGAGCAGTTTCCAAACCCACTTTCTGTAGAATCTGCAAGTGGATATTTGGACTTCTCTGAGGATTTCGTTGGAAACGGGATAAACTTCCCAGAACTATACGGAAGCATTGTGAGAAACTTCTTTGTGATGTTTGCATTCAACTCACAGAGTTGAACCTTGCTTTCATAGTTCAGCTTTCAAACACTCTTTTTGTAGAATCTGCAAGTGGATATTTGGACCACTTTGTGGCCTTCCTTCGAAACGGGTATATCTTCACATCAAACCTAGACAGAAGCATTCTCAGAATGTTTCCTGTGATGACTGCATTCAACTCACAGAGGTGAACAATCCTGCTGATGGAGCAGTTTTGAAATTCTCTTTCTTTGGATTCTGCAAGTGGATATGTGGACCTCTGTGAAGATTTCGTTGGAAACGGGTTCATCTTCACAGAAAAACTAAACAGAAGCATTCTCAGAAACTGCTTTGTGATGTTTTCGTTCCACTTCAGGAATTGAACTTTCCTCTTGACAGAGCAGCTCTGAAAACCTCTTATTCTAGAATCTGCAAGTGGACATTTGGAGGGCTTTGAGGCCTGTGGTGGAAAAGGAAAATCTTCACATAAAAACTAGATGGAAGCATTCTCAGGAACTACTTTGTGATGATTGCATTCGACTCACAGAGTTGAACATTCCTATAGATAGAGCAGGTTGTAAACAATCTTTTTGTAGAATCTGCGATTGGAGATTTGGACTGCTTTGAGGCCTACTGTAGTAAAGGAAATAACTTCATCTAAAAACCAAATGGAAGCATTCACAGACAATTCTTAGTGATCATTGCATTGAACTAACAGAGCTGAACATTCCTTTAGATGGAGCATTTTCCAAACACACTTTCTGTAGAATCTGCAAGTGGATATTTGGACCTCTCTGAGGATTTCGTTGGAAACGGGATAAACTTCCCAGAACTACACGGAAAGCATTCTGAGAAACTTCTTTGTGATGTTTGCATTCAACTCACAGAGTTGAACCTTGCTTTCATAGTTCAGCTTTCAAACACTCTTTTTGTAGAATCTACAGAAAGTGGATATTTGGACCACTTTGTGGCCTTCCTTCGAAACGGGTATATCTTCACATCAAACCTAGACAGAAGCATTCTCAGAATGTTTCCTGTGATGACTGCATTCAACTCACAGAGGTGAACAATCCTGCTGATGGACCAGTTTTGAAACTCTCTTTCTTTGGATTCTGCAAGTGGATATGTGGACCTCTGTGAAGATTTCGTTGGAAACGGGTTCATCTTCACAGAAAAACTAAACAGGAGCATTCTCAGAAACTGCTTTGTGATGTTTGTGTTCCACTTCAAGAATTGAACTTTCCTCTTGACAGAGCAGCTCTGAAACCCTCTTTTTCTAGAATCTGCAAGTGGACATTTGGAGGGCTTTGAGGCCTGTGGTGGAAAAGGAAAATCTTCACATAAAAACTAGATGGAAGCATTCTCAGAAACTACTTTGTGATGATTGCATTCGACTCACAGAGTTGAACATTCCTATAGATAGAGCAGGTTGTAAACAATCTTTTTGTAGAATCTGCGATTGGAGATTTGGACTGCTTTGAGGCCTACTGTAGTAAAGGAAATAACTTCATCTAAAAACCAAACGGAAGCATTCACAGACAATTCTTAGTGATCATTGCATTGAACTAACAGAACTGAACATTCCTTTAGATGGCGCAGTTTCCAAACACACTTTCTGTAGAATCTGCAAGTGGATATTTGGACTTCTCTGAGGATTTCGTTGGAAGCGGGATAAACTTCCCAGAACTACACGGAAGCATTCTGAGAAACTTCTTTGTGATGTTTGCATTCAACTCACAGAGTTGAACCTTGCTTTCATAGTTCATCTTTCAAACACTCTTTTTGTAGAATCTGCAAGTGGATATTTGGACCACTTTGTGGCCTTCCTTCGAAACGGGTATATCTTCACATCAAACCTAGACAGAAGCATTCTCAGAATGTTTCCTGTGATGACTGCATTCAACTCACAGAGGTGAACAATCCTGCTGATGGAGCAGTTTTGAAACTCTCTTTCTTTGGATTCTGCAAGTGGATATGTGAACCTCTTTGAAGATTTCGTTGGAAACGGGTTCATCTTCACAGAAAAACTAAACAGGAGCATTCTCAGAAACTGCTTTGTGATGTTTGTGTTCCACTTCAAGAATTGAACTTTCCTCTTGACAGAGCAGCTCTGAAACCCTCTTTTTCTAGAATCTGCAAGTGGACATTTGGAGGGCTTTGAGGCCTGTGGTGGAAAAGGAAAATCTTCACATAAAAACTAGATGGAAGCATTCTCAGAAACTACTTTGTGATGATTGCATTCGACTCACAGAGTTGAACATTCCTATAGGTAGAGCAGGTTGTAAACAATCTTTTTGTAGAATCAGCGATTGGAGATTTGGACTGCTTTGAGGCCTACTGTAGTAAAGGAAATAACTTCATCTAAAAACCAAACGGAAGCATTCACAGACAATTCTTAGTGATCATTGGATTGAACTAACAGAGCTGAACATTCCTTTAGATGGAGCAGTTTCCAAACACACTTTCTGTAGAATCTGCAAGTGGATATTTGGACTTCTCTGAGGATTTCGTTGGAAACGGGAAAACTTCCCAGAACTACACGGAAGCATTGTGAGAAACTTCTTTGTGATGTTTGCATTCAACTCACAGAGTTGAACCTTGCTTTCATAGTTCAGCTTTCAAACACTCTTTTTGTAGAATCTGCAAGTGGATATTTGGACCACTTTGTGGCCTTCCTTTGAAAAGGGTATATCTTCACATCAAACCTAGACAGAAGCATTCTCAGAATGTTTTCCTGTGATGACTGCATTCAACTCAGAGAGGTGAACAATCCTGTTGATGGAGCAGTTTTGAAACTCTCTTTCTTTGGATTCTGCAAGTGGATATATAGACCTCTGTGAAGATTTCGTTGGAAACGGGTTCATCTTCACAGAAAAACTAAACAGAAGCATTCTCAGAAACTGCTTTGTGATGTTTGTGTTCCACTTCAGGAACTGAACTTTCCTCTTGATAGAGCAGTTCTGAAACCCTCTTTTTCTAGAATCTGCAAGTGGACATTTGGAGGGCTTTGAGGTCTGTGGTGGAAAAGGAAAATCTTCACATAAATCTAGATGGAAGCATTCTCAGAAACTACTTTGTGATGATTGCATTCGACTCACAGAGTTGAACATTCCTATAGATAGAGCAGGTTGTAAACAATCTTTTTGTAGAATCTGCGATTGGAGATTTGGACTGCTTTGAGGCCTACTGTAGTAAAGGAAATAACTTCATCTAAAAACCAAACGGAAGCATTCACAGACAATTCTTAGTGATCATTGGATTGAACTAACAGAGCTGAACATTCCTTTAGATGGAGCAGTTTCCAAACCCACTTTCTGTAGAATCTGCAAGTGGATATTTGGACTTCTCTGAGGATTCCGTTGGAAACGGGCTAAACTTCCCAGAACTACACGGAAGAATTCTGAGAACCTTCTTTGTGATGTTTGCATTCAACTCACAGAGTTGAACCTTGCTTTCATAGTTCAGCTTTCAAACACTCTTTTTGTAGAATCTGCAAGTGGATATTTGGACCACTTTGGGGCCTTCCTTCGAAACGGGTATATCTTCACATCAAACCTAGACAGAAGCATTCTCAGAATGTTTCCTGTGATGACTGCATTCAACTCACAGAGGTGAACAATCCTGTTGATGGAGCAGTTTTGAAACTCTCTTTCTTTGGATTCTGCAAGTTGATATGTGGACCACTGTGAAGATTTCGTTGGAAACGGGTTCATCTTCACAGAAAAACTAAACAGAAGCATTCTCAGAAACTACTTTGTGATGTTTGTGTTCCACTTCAAGAATTCAACTTTCCTCTTGACAGAGCAGCTCTGAAACCCTCTTTTTCTAGAATCTGCAAGTGGACATTTGGAGGGCTTTGAGGCCTGTGGTGGAAAAGGAAAATCTTCACATAAAAACTAGATGGAAGCATTCTCAGAAACTACTTTGTGATGATTGCATTCGACTCACAGAGTTGAACATTCCTATAGATAGAGCAGGTTGTAAACAATCTTTTTGTAGAATCTGCGATTGGAGATTTGGACTGCTTTGAGGCCTACTGTAGTAAAGGAAATAACTTCATCTAAAAACCAAACGGAAGCATTCACAGACAATTCTTAGTGATCATTGCATTGAACTAACAGAGCTGAACATTCCTTTAGATGGCGCAGTTTCCAAACACACTTTCTGTAGAATCTGCAAGTGGATATTTGGACCTCTCTGAGGATTTCGATGGAAACGGGATAAACTTCCCAGAACTACACGGAAGCATTCTGAGAAACTTCTTTGTGATGTTTGCATTCAACTCACAGAGTTGAACCTTGCTTTCATAGTTCAGCTTTCAAACACTCTTTTTGTAGAATCTGCAAGTGGATATTTGGACCACTTTGTGGCCTTCCTTCGAAACGGGTATATCTTCACATGAAACCTAGACAGAAGCATTCTCAGAATGTTTCCTGTGATGACTGCATTCAACTCACAGAGGTGAACAATCCTGTTGATGGAGCCGTTTTGAAACTCCCTTTCTTTTGATTCTGCAAGTGGATATGTGGACCTCTGTGAAGATTTCGTTGGAAACGGGTTCATCTTCACAGAAAAATTAACAGGAGCATTCTCAGAAACTGCTTTGTGATGTTTGTGTTCCACTTCAAGAATTGAACTTTCCTCTTGACCGAGCAGCTCTGAAACCCTCTTATTCTAGAATCTGCAAGTGGACATTTGGAGGGCTTTGAGGCCTGTGGTGGAAAAGGAAAATCTTCACATAAAAACTAGATGGAAGCATTCTCAGAAACTACTTTGTGATGATTGCATTCGACTCACAGAGTTGAACATTCCTATAGATAGAGCAGGTTGTAAACAATCTTTTTGTAGAATCTGCGATTGGAGATTTGGACTGCTTTGAGGCCTACTGTAGTAAAGGAAATAACTTCATCTAAAAACCAAACGGAAGCATTCACAGACAATTCTTAGTGATCATTGGATTGAACTAACAGAGCTGAACATTCCTTTAGATGGAGCAGTTTCCAAACCCACTTTCTGTAGAATCTGCAAGTGGATATTTGGACTTCTCTGAGGATTTCGTTGGAAACGGGATAAACTTCCCAGAACTACACGGAAGCATTGTGAGAAACTTCTTTGTGATGTTTGCATTCAACTCACAGAGTTGAACCTTGCTTTCATAGTTCAGCTTTCAAATACTCTTTTTGTAGAATCTGCAAGTGGATATTTGGACCACTTTGTGGCCTTCCTTCGAAACGGGTATATCTTCACATCAAACCTAGACAGAAGCATTCTCAGAATGTTTCCTGTGATGACTGCATTCAACTCACAGAGGTGAACAATCCTGCTGATGGAGCAGTTTTGAAACTCTCCTTCTTTGGATTCTGAAAGTGGATATGTGGACCTCTGTGAAGGTTTCGTTGGAAACGGGTTCATCTTCACAGAAAAACTAAACAGAAGCATTCTCAGAAACTGCTTTGTGATGTTTGTGTTCCACTTCAGGAATTGAACTTTCCTCTTGACAGAGCAGCTCTGAAACCCTCTTATTCTAGAATCTGCAAGTGGACATTTGGAGGGCTTTGAGGCCTGTGGTGGAAAAGGAAAATCTTCACATAAAAACTAGATGGAAGCATTCTCAGAAACTACTTTGTGATGATTGCATTCGACTCACAGAGTTGAACATTCCTATAGATAGAGCAGGTTGTAAACAATCTTTTTGTAGAATCTGCGATTGCAGATTTGGACTGCTTTGAGGCCTACTGTAGTAAAGGAAATAACGTCATCTAAAAACCAAACGGAAGCATTCACAGACAATTCTTAGTGATCATTGGATTGAACTAACAGAGCTGAACATTCCTTTAGATGGAGCAGTTTCCAAACACACTTTCTGTAGAATCTGCAAGTGGATATTTGGACTTCTCTGAGGATTTCGTTGGAAACGGGATAAACTTCCCAGAACTACACGGAAGCATTCTGAGAAACTTCTTTGTGATGTTTGCATTCAACTCACAGAGTTGAACCTTGCTTTCATAGTTCAGCTTTCAAACACTCTTTTTGTAGAATCTGCAAGTGGATATTTGGACCACTTTGTGGCCTTCCTTCGAAACGGGTATATCTTCACATCAAACCTAGACAGAAGCATTCTCAGAATGTTTCCTGTGATGACTGCATTCAACTCACAGAGGTGAACAATCCTGCTGATGGAGCAGTTTTGAAACTCTCTTTCTTTGGATTCTGCAAGTGGATATGTGGACCTCTGTGAAGATTTCGTTGGAAACGGGTTCATCTTCACAGAAAAACTAAACAGAATCATTCTCAGAAACTGCTTTGTGATGTTTGTGTTCCACTTCAAGAATTGAACTTTCCTCTTGACAGAGCAGCTCTGAAACCCTCTTTTTCTGGAATCTGCAGGTGGACATTTGGAGGGCTTTGAGGCCTGTGGTGGAAAAGGAAAATCTTCACATAAAAACTAGATGGAAGCATTCTCAGAAACTACTTTGTGATGATTGCATTCGACTCACAGAGTTCAACATTCCTATAGGGAGAGCAGGTTGTAAACAATCTTTTTGTAGAATCTGCGATTAGAGATTTGGACTGCTTTGAGGCCTACTGTACTAAAGGAAATAACTTCATCTAAAAACCAAACGGAAGCATTCACAGACAATTCTTAGTGATCATTGCATTGAGCTAACAGAGCTGAACATTCCTTTAGATGGAGCAGTTTCCAAACACACTTTCTGTAGAATCTGCAAGTGGATATTTGGACTTCTCTGAGGATTTCGTTGGAAACGGGATAAACTTCCCAGAACTACACGGAAGTATTCTGAGAAACTTCTTTGTGATGTTTGCATTCAACTCACAGAGTTGAACCTTGCTTTCATAGTTCAGCTTTCAAACACTCTTTTTGTAGAATCTGCAAGTGGATATTTGGACCACTTTGTGGCCTTCCTTCGAAACGGGTATATCTTCACATCAAACCTAGACAGAAGCATTCTCAGAATGTTTCCTGTGATGACTGCATTCAACTCACAGAGGTGAACAATCCTGTTGATGGAGCAGTTTTGAAACTCTCTTTCTTTGGATTCTGCAAGTGGATATGTGGACCTCTGTGAAGATTTCGTTGGAAACGGGTTCATCTTCACAGAAAAACTAAACAGGAACATTCTCAGAAACTGCTTTGTGATGTTTGTGTTCCACTTCAAGAATTGAACTTTCCTCTTGACAGAGCAGCTCTGAAACCCTCTTTTTCTAGAATCTGCAAGTGGACATTTGGAGGGCTTTGAGGCCTGTGGTGGAAAAGGAAAATCTTCACATAAAAACTAGATGGAAGCATTCTCAGAAACTACTTTGTGATGATTGCATTCGACTCACAGAGTTGAACATTCCTATAGATAGAGCAGGTTGTAAACAATCTTTTTGTAGAATCTGCGATTGGAGATTTGGACTGCTTTGAGGCCTACTGTAGTAAAGGAAATAACTTCATCTAAAAACCAAACGGAAGCATTCACAGACAATTCTTAGTGATCATTGGATTGAACTAACAGAGCTGAACATTCCTTTAGATGGAGCATTTTCCAAACACACTTTCTGTAGAATCTGCAAGTGGATATTTGGACTTCTCTGAGGATTTCGTTGGAAACGGGATAAACTTCCCAGAACTACACGGAAGCATGCTGAGAAACTTCTTTGTGATGTTTGCATTCAACTCACAGAGTTGAACCTTGCTTTCATAGTTCAGCTTTCAAACACTCTTTTTGTGGAATCTGCAAGTGGATATTTGGACCACTTTGTGGCCTTCCTTCGAAACGGGTATATCTTCACATCAAACCTAGACAGAAGCATTCTCAGAATGTTTCCTGTGATGACTGCATTCAACTCACAGAGGTGAACAATCCTGCTGATGGAGCAGTTTTGAAACTCTCTTTCTTTGGATTCTGCAAGTGGATATATGGACCTCTGCGAAGATTTCGTTGGAAACGGGTTCATCTTCACAGAAAAACTAAACAGGAGCATTCTCAGAAACTGCTTTGTGATGTTTGTGTTCCACTTCAGGTATTGAACTTTCCTCTTGACAGAGCAGCTCTGAAACCCTCTTATTCTAGAATCTGCAAGTGGACATTTGGAGGGCTTTGAGGCCTGTGGTGGAAAAGGAAAATCTGCACATAAAAACCAGATGGAAGCATTCTCAGAAACTACTTTGTGATGATTGCATTCGACTCAAAGAGTTGAACATTCCTATAGATAGAGCAGGTTGTAAACAATCTTTTTGTAGAATCTGCGATTGGAGATTTGGACTGCTTTGAGGCCTACTGTAGTAAAGGAAATAACTTCATCTAAAAACCAAACGGAAGCATTCACAGACAATTCTTAGTGATCATTGCATTGAACTAACAGAGCTGAACATTCCTTTAGATGGAGCAGTTTCCAAACACACTTTCTGTAGAATCCGCAAGTGGATATTTGGACCTCTCTGAGGATTTCGTTGGAAACGGGATAAAATTCCCAGAACTACACGGAAGCATTCTGAGAAACTTCTTTGTGATGTTTGCATTCAACTCACAGAGTTGAACCTTGCTTTCATAGTTCAGCTTTCAAACACTCTTTTTGTAGAATCTGCAAGTGGATATTTGGACCACTTTGTGGCCTTCCTTCGAAACGGGTATATCTTCACATCAAACCTAGACAGAAGCATTCTCAGAATGTTTCCTGTGATGACTGCATTCAACTCACAGAGGTGAATAATCCTTCTGATGGAGCAGTTTTGAAACTCTCTTTCTTTGGATTCTGCAAGTGGATATGTGGACCTCTGTGAAGATTTCGTTGGAAACGGGTTCATCTTCACAGAAAAACTAAACAGGAGCATTCTCAGAAACTGCTTTGTGATGTTTGTGTTCCACTTCAAGAATTGAACTTTCCTCTTGACAGAGCAGCTCTGAAACCCTCTTTTTCTAGAATCTGCAAGTGGACATTTGGAGGGCTTTGAGGCCTGTGATGGAAAAGGAAAATCTTCACATAAAAACTAGATGGAAGCATTCTCAGAAACTACTTTGTGATGATTGCATTCGACTCACAGAGTTGAACATTCCTATAGATAGAGCAGGTTGTAAACAATCTTTTTGTAGAATCTGCGATTGGAGATTTGGACTGCTTTGAGGCCTACTGTAGTAAAGGAAATAACTTCATCTAAAAACCAAACGGAAGCATTCACAGACAATTCTTAGTGATCATTGCATTGAACTAACAGAGCTGAACATTCCTTTAGATGGCGCAGTTTCCAAACACACTTTCTGTAGAATCTGCAAGTGGATATTTGGACCTCTCTGAGGATTTCGTTAGAAACGGGATAAACTTCCCAGAACTACACGGAAGTATTCTGAGAAACTTCTTTGTGATGTTTGCTTTCAACTCACAATGTTGAACCTTGCTTTCATAGTTCAGCTTTCAAACACTCTTTTTGTAGAATCTGCAAGTGGATATTTGGACCACTTTGTGGCCTTCCTTCGAAACGGGTATATCTTCACATCGAACCTAGACAGAAGCATTCTCAGAATGTTTCCTGTGATGACTGCATTCAACTCACAGAGGTGAACAATCCTGCTGATGGAGCAGTTTTGAAACTCTCTTTCTTTGGATTCTGCAAGTGGATATGTGGACCTCTGTGAAGATTTCGTTGGAAACGGGTTCATCTTCACAGAAAAACTAAACAGGAGCATTCTCAGAAACTGCTTTGTGATGTTTGTGTTCCACTTCAAGAATTGAACTTTCCTCTTGACAGAGCAGCTCTGAAACCCTCTTTTTCTAGAATCTGCAAGTGGACATTTGGAGGGCTTTGAGGCCTGTGGTGGGAAAGGAAAATCTTCACATAAAAACTTTATGGAAGCATTCTCAGAAACTTCTTTGTGATGATTGCATTCGACTCACAGAGTTGAACATTCCTATAGATAGAGCAGGTTGTAAACAATCTTTTTGTAGAATCTGCGATTGGAGATTTGGACTGCTTTGAGGCCTACTGTAGTAAAGGAAATTACTTCATCTAAAAACCAAACGGAAGCATTCACAGACAATTCTTAGTGATCATTGGATTGAACTAACAGAGCTGAACATTCCTTTAGATGGAGCATTTTCTAAACACACTTTCTGTAGAATCTGCAAGTGGATATTTGGACTTCTCTGAGGATTTCGTTGGAAACGGGATAAACTTCCCAGAACTACACGGAAGCATTGTGAGAAACTTCTTTGTGATGTTTGCATTCAACTCACAGAGTTGCACCTTGCTTTCATAGTTCAGCTTTCAAACACTCTTTTTGTAGGATCTGCAAGTGGATATTTGGACCACTTTGTGGCCTTCCTTCGAAACGGGTATATCTTCACATCAAACCTAGACAGAAGCATTCTCAGAATGTTTTCCTGTGATGACTGCATTCAACTCACAGAGGTGAACAATCCTGCTGATGGAGCAGTTTTGAAACTCTCTTTCTTTGGATTCTGCAAGTGGATATGTGGACCTCTGTGAAGATTTCGTTGGAAACGGGTTCATCTTCACAGAAAAACTAAACAGAAGCATTCTCAGAAACTGCTTTGTGATGTTTGTGTTCCACTTCAGGAATTGAACTTTCCTCTTGACAGAGCAGCTCTGAAACCCTCTTATTCTAGAATCTGCAAGTGGACATTTGGAGGGCTTTGAGGCCTGTGGTGGAAAAGGAAAATCTTCACATAAAAACTAGATGGAAGCATTCTCAGAAACTACTTTGTGATGATTGCATTCGACTCACAGAGTTGAACATTCCTATAGATAGAGCAGGTTGTAAACAATCTTTTTGTAGAATCTGCGATTGGAGATTTGGACTGCTTTGAGGCCTACTGTAGTAAAGGAAATAACTTCATCTAAAAACCAAACGGAAGCATTCACAGACAATTCTTAGTGATCATTGCATTGAACTAACAGAGCTGAACATTCCTTTAGATGGAGCAGTTTCCAAACACACTTTCTGTAGAATCTGCAAGTGGATATTTGGACTTCTCTGAGGATTTCGTTGGAAACGGGATAAATTTCCCAGAACTACACGGAAGCATTGTGAGAAACTTCTTTGTGATGTTTGCATTCAACTCACAGAGTTGAACCTTGCTTTCATAGTTCAGCTTTCAAACACTCCTTTTGTAGAATCTGCAAGTGGATATTTGGGCCACTTTGTGGCCTTCCTTCGAAACGGGTATATCTTCACATCAAACCTAGACAGAAGCATTCTCAGAATGTTTCCTGTGATGACTGCATTCAACTCACAGAGGTGAACAATCCTGCTGATGGAGCAGTTTTGAAACTCTCTTTCTTTGGATTCTGCAAGTGGATATGTGGACCTCTGTGAAGATTTCGTTGGAAACGGGTTCATCTTCACAGAAAAACTAAACAGAAGCATTCTCAGAATCTGCTTTGTGATGTTTGAGTTCCACTTCAAGAATTGAACTTTCCTCTTGACAGAGCAGCTCTGAAACCCTCTTTTTCTAGAATCTGCAAGTGGACATTTGGAGGGCTTTGAGGCCTGTGGTGGAAAAGGAAAATCTTCACATAAAAACTAGATGGAAGCATTCTCAGAAACTACTTTGTGATGATTGCATTCGACTCACAGAGTTGAACATTCCTATAGATAGAGCAGGTTGTAAACAATCTTGTTGTAGAATCTGCGATTGGAGATTTGGACTGCTTTGAGGCCTACTGTAGTAAAGGAAATAACTTCATCTAAAAACCAAACGGAAGCATTCACAGACAATTCTTAGTGATCATTGGATTGAACTAACAGAGCTGAACATTCCTTTAGATGGAGCAGTTTCCAAACCCACTTTCTGTAGAATCTGCAAGTGGATATTTGGACTTCTCTGAGGATTTCGTTGGAAACGGGATAAACTTCCCAGAACTACACGGAAGCATTGTGAGAAACTTCTTTGTGATGTTTGCATTCAACTCACAGAGTTGAACCTTGCTTTCATAGTTCAGCTTTCAAACACTCTTTTTGTGGAATCTGCAAGTGGATATTTGGACCACTTTGTGGCCTTCCTTCGAAACGGGTATATCTTCACATCAAACCTAGACAGAAGCATTCTCAGAATGTTTCCTGTGATGACTGCATTGAACTCACAGAGGTGAACAATCCTGTTGATGGAGCAGTTTTGAAACTCTCTTTCTTTGGATTCTGCAAGTGGATATGTGGACCTCTGTGAAGATTTCGTTGGAAACGGGTTCATCTTCACAGAAAAACTAAACAGAAGCATTCTCAGAAACTGCTTTGTGATGTTTGTGTTCCACTTCAGGAATTGAACTTTCCTCTTGACAGAGCAGCTCTGAAACCCTCTTTTTCTAGAATCTGCAAGTGGACATTTGGAGGGCTTTGAGGCCTGTGGTGGAAAAGGAAAATCTTCACATAAAAACTAGATGGAAGCATTCTCAGAAACTACTTTGTGATGATTGCATTCGACTCACAGAGTTGAACATTCCTATAGATAGAGCAGGTTGTAAACAATGTTTTTGTAGAATCTGCGATTGGAGATTTGGACTGCTTTGAGGCCTACTGTAGTAAAGGAAATAACTTCATCTAAAAACCAAACGGAAGCATTCACAGACAATTCTTAGTGATCATTGGATTGAACTAACAGAGCTGAACATTCCTTTAGATGGAGCAGTTTCCAAACACACTTTCTGCAGAATCTGCAAGTGGATATTTGGACCTCTCTGAGGATTTCGTGGGAAACGGGCTAAATTTCCCAGAACTACACGGAAGCATTCTGAGAAACTTCTTTGTGATGTTTGCATTCAACTCACAGAGTTGAACCTTGCTTTCATAGTTCAGCTTTCAAACACTCTTTTTGTAGAATCTGCAAGTGGATATTTGGACACTTTGTGGCCTTCCTTCGAAACGGGTATATCTTCACATCAAACCTAGACAGAAGCATTCTCAGAATGTTTCCTGTGATGACTGCATTCAACTCACAGAGGTGAACAATCCTGCTGATGGAGCAGTTTTGAAACTCTCTTTCTTTGGAATCTGCAAGTGGATATGTGGACCTCTGTGAAGATTTCGTTGGAAACGGGTTCATCTTCACAGAAAAACTAAACAGGAGCATTCTCAGAAACTGCTTTGTGATGTTTGTGTTCCACTTCAGGAATTGAACTTTCCTCTTGACAGAGCAGCTCTGAAACCCTCTTATTCTATAATCTGCATGTGGACATTTGGAGGGCTTTGAGGCCTGTGGTGGAAAAGGAAAATCTTCACATAAAAACTAGATGGAAGCATTCTCAGAAACTACTTTGTGATGATTGCATTCGACTCACAGAGTTGAACATTCCTATAGATAGAGCAGGTTGTAAACAATGTTTTTGTAGAATCTGCGATTGGAGATTTGGACTGCTTTGAGGCCTACTGTAGTAAAGGAAATAACTTCATCTAAAAACCAAACGGAAGCATTCACAGAACAATTCTTAGTGATCATTGCATTGAACTAACAGAGCTGAACATTCCTTTAGATGGAGCAGTTTCCAAACCCACTTTCTGTAGAATCTGCAAGTGGATATTTGGACTTCTCTGAGGATTTCGTTGGAAACGGGATAAACTTCCCAGAACTACACGGAAGCATTCTGAGAAACTTCTTTGTGATGTTTGCATTCAACTCACAGAGTTGAACCTTGCTTTCATAGTTCAGCTTTCAAACCCTCTTTTTGTAGAATCTGCAAGTGGATATTTGGACCACTTTGTGGCCTTCTTTCGAAACGGGTATATCTTCACATCAAACCTAGACAGAAGCATTCTCAGAATGTTTCCTGTGATGACTGCATTCAACTCACAGAGGTGAACAATCCTGCTGATGGAGCAGTTTTGAAACTCTCTTTCTTTGGATTCTGCAAGTGGATATGTGGACCTCTGTGAAGATTTCGTTGGAAACGGGTTCATCTTCACAGAAAAACTAAACAGAAGCATTCTCAGAAACTGCTTTGTGATGTTTGTGTTCCACTTCAAGAATTGAACTTTCCTCTTGACAGAGCAGCTCTGAAACCCTCTTTTTCTAGAATCTGCAAGTGGACATTTGGAGGGCTTTGAGGCCTGTGGTGGAAAAGGAAAATCTTCCCATAAAAACTAGATGGAAGCATTCTCAGAAACTACTTTGTGATGATTACATTCGACTCACAGAGTTGAACATTCCTATAGATAGAGCAGGTTGTAAACAATGTTTTTGTAGAATCTGCGATTGGAGATTTGGACTGCTTTGAGGCCTACTGTAGTAAAGGAAATAACTTCATCTAAAAACCAAACGGAAGCATTCACAGACAATTCTTAGTGATCATTGGATTGAACTAACAGAGCTGAACATTCCTTTAGATGGCGCAGTTTCCAAACACACTTTCTGTAGAATCTGCAAGTGGATATTTGGACCTCTCTGAGGATTTCGTTGGAAACGGGATAAAATTCCCAGAACTACACGGAAGCATTCTGAGAAACTTCTTTGTGATGTTTGCATTCAACTCACAGAGTTGAACCTTCCTTTCATAGTTCAGCTTTCAAACACTCTTTTTGTAGAATCTGCAAGTGGATATTTGGACCACTTTGTGGCCTTCCTTCGAAACGGGTATATCTTCACATCAAACCTAGAGAGAAGCATTCTCAGAATGTTTCCTGTGATGACTGCATTCAACTCACAGAAGTGAACAATCCTGTTGATGGAGCAGTTTTGAAACTCTCTTTCTTTGTATTCTGCAAGTGGATATGTGGACCTCTGTGAAGATTTCGTTGGAAACGGGTTCATCTTCACAGAAAAACTAAACAGAAGCATTCCCAGAAACTGCTTTGTGATGTTTGTGTTCCACTTCAAGAGTTGAACTTTCCTCTTGACAGAGCAGCTCTGAAACCCTCTTTTTCTAGAATCTGCAAGTGGACATTTGGAGGGCTTTGAGGCCTGTGGTGGAAAAGGAAAATCTTCACATAAAAACTAGATGGAAGCATTCTCAGAAACTACTTTGTGATGATTGCATTCGACTCACAGAGTTGAACATTCCTATAGATAGAGCATGTTGTAAACAATCTTTTTGTAGAATCTGCTATTGGAGATTTGGACTGCTTTGAGGCCTAATGTAGTACAGGAAATAACTTCATCTAAAAACCAAACGGAAACATTCACAGACAATTCTTAGTGATCATTGCATTGATCTAACAGAGCTGAACATTCCTTTAGATGGCGTAGTTTCCAAACACACTTTCTGTAGAATCTGCAAGTGGATATTTGGACCTCTCTGAGGATTTCGTTGGAAACGGGATAAACTTCCCAGAACTACACGGAAGCATTCTGAGAAACTTCTTTGTGATGTCTGCATTCAACTCACAGAGTTGAACCTTGCTTTCATAGTTCAGCTTTCAAACACTCTTTTTGTGGAATCTGCAAGTGGATACTTGGACCACTTTGTGGCCTTCCTTCGAAACGGGTATATCTTCACATCAAACCTAGACAGAAGCATTCTCAGAATGTTTCCTGTGATGACTGCATTCAACTCACAGAGGTGAACAATCCTGTTGATGGGGCACTTTTGAAACTCTCTCTCTTTGGATTCTGCAAGTTGATATGTGGACCTCTGTGAAGATTTCGTTGGAAACGGGTTCATCTTCACAGAAAAACTAAACAGAAGCATTCTCAGAAACTACTTTGTGATGTTTGTGTTCCACTTCAAGAATTGAACTTTCCTCTTGACAGAGCAGCTCTGAACCCCTCTTTTTCTAGAATCTGCAAGTGGACATTTGGAGGGCTTTGAGGCCTGTGGTGGAAAAGGAAAATCTTCACATAAAAACTAGATGGAAGCATTCTCAGAAACTACTTTGTGATGATTGCATTCGACTCACAGAGTTGAACATTCCTATAGATAGAGCAGGTTGTAAACAATGTTTTTGTAGAATCTGCGATTGGAGATTTGGATTGCTTTGAGGCCTACTGTAGTAAAGGAAATAACTTCATCTAAAAACCAAACGGAAGCATTCACAGACAATTCTTAGTGATCATTGGATTGAACTAACAGAGCTGAACATTCCTTTAGATGGAGCAGTTTCCAAACACACTTTCTGTAGAATCTGCAAGTGGATATTTGGACTTCTCTGAGGATTTCGTTGGAAACGGGATAAACTTCCCAGAACTACACGGAAGCATTCTCAGAAACTACTTTGTGATGTTGCATTCAACTCACAGAGTTGAACCTTGCTTTCATAGTTCAGCTTTCAAACACTCTTTTTGTAGAAACTGCAAGTGGATATTTGGACCACTTTGTGGCCTTCCTTCGAAACGGGTATATCTTCACATCAAACCTAGACAGAAGCATTCTCAGAATGTTTCCTGTGATGACTGCATTCAACTCACAGAGGTGAACAATCCTGTTGAAGGAGCAGTTTTGAAACTCTCTTTCTTTGGATTCTGCAAGTGGATATGTGGACCTCTGTGAAGATTTCGTTGGAAACGGGTTCATTTTCACAGAAAAACTAAACAGAAGCATTCTCAGAAACTGCTTTGTGATGTTTGTGTTCCACTTCAGGAATTGAACTTTCCTCTTGACAGAGCAGCTCTGAAACCCTCTTATTCTAGAATCTGCAAGTGGACATTTGGAGGGCTTTGAGGCCTGTGGTGGAAAAGGAAAATCTTCACATAAAAACTAGATGGAAACATTCTCAGAAACTACTTTGTGATGATTGCATTCGACACACAGAGTTGAACATTCCTATAGATAGAGCAGGTTGTAAACAATCTTTTTGTAGAATCTGCGATTGGAGATTTGGACTGCTTTGAGGCCTACTGTAGTAAAGGAAATAACTTCATCTAAAAACCAAACGGAAGCATTCACAGACAATTCTTAGTGATCATTGGATTGAACTAACAGAGCTGAACATTCCTTTAGATGGAGCAGTTTCCAAACACACTTTCTGTAGAATCTGCAAGTGGATATTTGGACTTCTCTGAGGATTTCGTTGGAAACGGTCTAAAATTCCCAGAACTACACGGAAGCATTCTGAGAAACTTCTTTGTGATGTTTGCATTCAACTCACAGAGTTGAACCTTGCTTTCATAGTTCAGCTTTCAAACACTCTTTTTGTAGAATCTGCAAGTGGATATTTGGACCACTTTGTGGCCTTCCTTCGAAACGGGTATATCTTCACATCAAACCTAGACAGAAGCATTCTCAGAATGTTTCCTGTGATGACTGCATTCAACTCACAGAGGTGAACAATCCTGCTGATGGAGCAGTTTTGAAACTCTCTTTCTTTGGATTCTGCAAGTGGATATGTGGACCTCTGTGAAGATTTCTTTGAAAAAGGGTTCATCTTCACAGAAAAACTAAACAGGAGCATTCTCAGAAACTGCTTTGTGATGTTTGTGTTCCACTTCAGGAATTGAAATTTCCTCTTGAAAGAGCAGCTCTGAAACCCTCTTTTTATAGAATCTGCAAGTGGACATTTGGAGGGCTTTGAGGCCTGTGGTGGAAAAGGAAAATCTTCACATAAAAACTAGATGGAAGCATTCTCAGAAACTACTTTGTGATGATTGCATTCGACTCACAGAGTTGAACATTCCTATAGATAGAGCAGGTTGAAAACAATCTTTTTGTAGAATCTGCGATTGGAGATTTGGACTGCTTTGAGGCCTACTGTAGTAAAGGAAATAACTTCATCTAAAAACCAAACGGAAGCATTCACAGACAATTCTTAGTGATCATTGGATTGAACTAACAGAGCTGAACATTCCTTTAGATGGAGCAGTTTCCAAACACACTTTCTGTAGAATCTGCAAGTGGATATTTGGACTTCTCTGAGGATTTCGTTGGAAACGGGATAAACTTCCCAGAAATACACGGAAGCATTCTGAGAAACTTCTTTGTGATGTTTGCATTCAACTCACAGAGTTGAACCTTGCTTTCATAGTTCAGCTTTCAAACACTCTTTTTGTAGAATCAGCAAGTGGATATTTGGACCACTTTGTGGCCTTCCTTCGAAACGGGCATATCTTCACATCAAACCTAGACAGAAGCATTCTCAGAATGTTTCCTGTGATGACTGCATTCAACTCACAGAGGTGAACAATCCTGTTGATGGAGCAGTTTTGAAACTCTCTTTCTTTGTATTCTGCAAGTGGATATGTGGACCTCTGTGCAGATTTCGTTGGAAACGGGTTCATCTTCACAGAAAAACTAAACAGGAGCATTCTCAGAAACTGCTTTGTGATGTTTGTGTTCCACTTCAAGAATTGAACTTTCCTCTTGACAGAGCAGCTCTGAAACCCTCTTTTTCTAGAATCTGCAAGTGGACATTTGGAGGGGTTTGAGGCCTGTGGTGGAAAAGGAAAATCTTCACATAAAAACTAGATGGAAGCATTCTCAGAAACTACTTTGTGATGATTGCATTCGACTCACAGAGTTGAACATTCCTATAGATAGAGCAGGTTGTAAACAATGTTTTTGTAGAATCTGCGATTGGAGATTTGGATTGCTTTGAGGCCTACTGTAGTAAAGGAAATAACTTCATCTAAAAACCAAACGGAAGCATTCACAGACAATTCTTAGTGATCATTGCATTGAACTAACAGAGCTGAACATTCCTTTAGATGGCGCAGTTTCCAAACACACTTTCTGTAGAATCTGCAAGTGGATATTTGGACTTCTCTGAGGATTTCGTTGGAAACGGGATAAACTTCCCAGAACTACACGGAAGCATTGTGAGAAACTTCTTTGTGATGTTTGCATTCAACTCACAGAGTTGAACCTTGCTTTCACAGTTCAGCTTTCAAACACTCTTTTTGTAGAATCTGCAAGTGGATATTTGGACCACTTTGTGGCCTTCCTTCGAAACGGGTATATCTTCACATCAAACCTAGACAGAAGCATTCTCAGAATGTTTCCTGTGATGACTGCATTCAACTCACAGAGGTGAACAATCCTGCTGATGGAGCAGTTTTGAAACTCTCTTTCTTTGGATTCTGCAGCTGGATATGTGGACCTCTGTGAAGATTTCGTTGGAAACGGGTTCATCTTCACAGAAAAACTAAACAGAAGCATTCTCAGAAACTGCTTTGTGATGTTTGTGTTCCACTTCAAGAATTGAACTTTCCTCTTGACAGAGCAGCTCTGAAACCCTCTTTTTCTAGAATCTGCAAGTGGACATTTGGAGGGCTTTGAGGCCTGTGGTGGAAAAGGAAAATCTTCACATAAAAACTAGATGAATCATTCTCAGAAACTACTTTGTGATGATTGCATTCGACTCACAGAGTTGAACATTCCTATAGATAGAGCAGGTTGAAAACAATCTTTTTGTAGAATCTGCGATTGGAGATTTGGACTGCTTTGAGGCCTACTGTAGTAAAGGAAATAACTTCATCTAAAAACCAAACGGAAGCATTCACAGTACAATTCTTAGTGATCATTGCATTGAACTAACAGAGCTGAACATTCCTTTAGATGGAGCAGTTTCCAAACACACTTTCTGTAGAATCTGCAAGTGGATATTTGGACCTCTGTGAGGATTTCGTTGGAAACGGGATAAACTTCCCAGAACTACACGGAAGCATTCTGAGAAACTTCTTTGTGATGTTTGCATTCAACTCACAGAGTTGAACCTTGCTTTCATAGTTCAGCTTTCAAACACTCTTTTTGTAGAATCTGCAAGTGGATATTTGGACCACTTTGTGGCCTTCCTTCGAAACGGGTATATCTTCACATCAAACCTAGACAGAAGCATTCTCAGAATGTTTCCTGTGATGACTGCATTCAACTCACAGAGGTGAACAATCCTGCTGATGGAGCAGTTTTGAAACTCTCTTTCTTTGGATTCTGCAAGTGGATATGTGGACCTCTGTGAAGATTTCGTTGGAAACGGGTTCATCTTCACAGAAAAACTAAACAGGAGCATTCTCAGAAACTGCTTTGCGATGTTTGTGTTCCACTTCAAGAATTGAACTTTCCTCTTGACAGAGAAGCTCTGAAACCCTCTTTTTCTAGAATCTGCAAGTGGACATTTGGAGGGCTTTGAGGCCTGTGGTGGAAAAGGAAACTCTTCATATAAAAACTAGATGGAAGCATTCTCAGAAACTACTTTGTGATGATTGCATTCGACTCACAGAGTTGAACATTCCTATAGATAGAGCAGGTTGTAAACAATCTTTTTGTAGAATCTGCGATTGGAGATTTGGACTGCTTTGAGGCCTACTGTAGTAAAGGAAATAACTTCATCTAAAAACCAAACGGAAGCATTCACAGACAATTCTTAGTGATCATTGGATTGAACTAACAGAGCTGAACATTCCTTTAGATGGAGCAGTTGCCAAACCCACTTTCTGTAGAATCTGCAAGTGGATATTTGGACTTCTCTGAGGATTTCGTTGGAAACGGGATAAACTTCCCAGAACTACACGGAAGCATTGTGAGAAACTTCTTTGTGATGTTTTCATTCAACTCACAGAGTTGAACCTTGCTTTCATAGTTCAGCTTTCAAACACTCTTTTTGTAGAATCTGCAAGTGGATATTTGGACCACTTTGTGGCCTTCTTTCGAAACGGGTATATCTTCACATCAAACTTAGACGGAAGCATTCTCAGAATGTTTCCTGTGATGACTGCATTCAACTCACAGAGGTGAACAATCCTGTTGATGGAGGAGTTTTGAAACTCTCTTTCTTTGGATTCTGCAAGTTGATATGTGGAACTCTGTGAAGATTTCGTTGGAAACGGGTTCATCTTCACAGAAAAACTAAACAGAAGCATTCCCAGAAACTGCTTTGTGATGTTTCTGTTCCACTTCAAGAATTGAACTTTCCTCTTGACAGAGCAGCTCTGAAACCCTCTTTTTCTAGAATCTGCAAGTGGACATTTGGAGGGCTTTGAGGCCTGTGGTGGAAAAGGAAAATCTTCACATAAAAACTAGATGGAAGCATTCTCAGAAACTACTTTGTGATGATTGCATTCGACTCACAGAGTTGAACATTCCTATAGATAGAGCAGGTTGTAAACAATCTTTTTGTAGAATCTGCAATTGGAGATTTGGACTGCTTTGAGGCCTACTGTAGTAAAGGAAATAACTTCATCTAAAAACCAAACGGAAGCATTCACAGAAAATTCTTAGTGATCATTGGATTGAACTAACAGAGCTGAACATTCCTTTAGATGGAGCAGTTTCCAAACCCACTTTCTGTAGAATCTGCAAGTGGATATTTGGACTTCTCTGAGGATTTCGATGGAAAAGGGATATGCTTCCCAGAACTACACGGAAGCATTCTGAGAAACTTCTTTGTGATGTTTGCATTCAACTCACAGAGTTGAACCTTGCTTTCATAGTTCAGCTTTCAAACACTCTTTATGTAGAATCTGCAAGTGGATATTTGGACCACTTTGAGGCCTTCCTTCGAAACGGGTATATCTTCACATCAAACCTAGACAGAAGCATTCTCAGAATGTTTCCTGTGATGACTGCATTCAACTCACAGAGGTGAACAATCCTGCTGATGGAGCAGTTTTGAAACTCTCTTTCTTTGGATTCTGCAAGTGGATATGTGGACCTCTGTGAAGATTTCGTTGGAAACGGGTTCATCTTCACAGAAAAATTAACAGAAGCATTCTCAGAAACTGCTTTGTGATGTTTGTGTTCCACTTCAGGAATTGAACTTTCCTCTTGACAGAGTAGCTCTGAAACCCTCTTATTCTAGAATCTGCAAGTGGACATTTGGAGGGCTTTGAGGCCTGTGGTGGAAAAGGAAAATCTTCACATAAAAACTACATGGAAGCATTCTCAGAAACTACTTTGTGATGATTGCATTCGACTCACAGGGTTGAACATTCCTATAGATAGAGCAGGATGTAAACAATCTTTTTGTAGAATATGCGATTGGAGATTTGGACTGCTTTGAGGCCTACTGTAGTAAAGGAAATAACTTCATCTAAAAACCAAACGGAAGCATTCAGAGGCAATTCTTAGTGATCATTGGATTGAACTAACAGAGCTGAACATTCCTTTAGATGGAGCAGTTTCCAAACACACTTTTTGTAGAATCTGCAAGTGGATATTTGGACCTCTCTGAGGATTTCGTTGGAAAAGGGATAAACTTCCCAGAACTACACGGAAGCATTGTGAGAAACTTCTTTGTGATGTTTGCATTCAACTCACAGAGTTGAACCTTGCTTTCATAGTTCAGCTTTCAAACACTCTTTTTGTAGAATCTGCAAGTGGATATTTGGACCGCTTTGTGGCATACCTTCGAAACGGGTATATCTTCACATCAAACCTAGACAGAAGCATTCTCAGAATGTTTCCTGTGATGACTGCATTCAACTCACAAATGTGAACAATCCTGCTGATGGAGCAGTTTTGAAACTCTCTTTCTTTGGATTCTGCAAGTGGATATGTGGACCTCTGTGAATATTTCGTTGGAAACGGGTTCATCTTCACAGAAAAAGTAAACAGGAGCATTCTCAGAAACTGCTTTGTGATGTTTGTGTTCCACTTCAGGAATTGAACTTTCCTCTTGACAGAGCAGCTCTGAAACCCTCTTTTTCTAGAATCTGCAAGTGGACATTTGGAGGGCTTTGAGGCCTGTGGTGGAAAAGGAAAATCTTCACATAAAAACTAGATGGAAGCATTCTCAGAAACTACTTTGTGATGATTGCATTCGACTCACAGAGTTGAACATTCCTATAGATAGAGCAGGTTGTAAACAATCTTTTTGTAGAATCTGCGATTGGATATTTGGACTGTTTTGAGACCTACTGTAGTAAAGGAAATAACTTCATCTAAAAACCAAACGGAAGCATTCACAGACAATTCTTAGTGATCATTGGATTGAACTAACAGAGCTGAACATTCCTTTAGATGGCACAGTTTCCAAACACACTTTCTGTAGAATCTGCAAGTGGATGTTTGGACCTCTCTGAGGATTTCGTTGGAAACGGGATAAACTTCCCAGAACTACACGGAAGCATTCTCAGAAACTTCTTTGTGATGTTGCATTCAACTCACAGACTTGAACCTTGCTTTCATAGTTCAGCTTCCAAACACTCTTTTTGTAGAATCTGCAAGTGGATATTTGGACCACTTTGTGGCCTTCCTTCGAAACGGGAATATCTTCACATCAAACCTAGACAGAAGCATTCTCAGAATGTTTCCTGTGATGACTGCATTCAACGCACAGAGGTGAACAATCCTGTTGATGGAGCAGTTTTGAATCTCTCTTTCTCTGGAATCTGAAAGTGGATATGTGGACCTCTTTGAAGATTTCGTTGGAAAAGGGTTCATCTTCAAAGAAAAACTAAACAGAAGCATTCTCAGAAACTGCTATGTGATGTTTGTGTTCCACTTCAAGAATTGAACTTTCCTCTTGACAGAGCAGCTCTGAAACCCTCTTTTTCTAGAATCTGCAAGTGGACATTTGGAGGGCTTTGATGCCTGTGGTGGAAAAGGAAAATCTTCACATAAAAACTAGATGGAAGCATTCTCAGAAACTACTTTGTGATGATTGCATTCGACTCACAGAGTTGAACATTCCTATAGATAGAGCAGGTTGTAAACAATCTTTTTGTAGAATCTGCGATTGGAGATTTGGACTGCTTTGAGGCCTACTGTAGTAAAGGAAATACCTTCATCTAAAAACCAAACGGAAGCATTCACAGTACAATTCTTAGTGATCATTGCATTGAACTAACAGAGCTGAACATTGCTTTAGATGGCGCAGTTTCCAAACACACTTTCTGTAGAATCTGCAAGTGGATATTTGGACCTCTCTGAGGATTTCGTTGGAAACGGGATAAACTTCCCAGAACTACACGGAAGCATTCTGAGAAACTTCTTTGTGATGTTTGCATTCAACTCACAGAGTTGAACCTTGCTTTCATAGTTCAGCTTTCAAACACTCTTTTTGTAGAATCTGCAAGTGGATATTTGGACCACTTTGTGGCCTTCCTTCGAAACGGGTATATCTTCACATCAAACCTAGACAGAAGCATTCTCAGAATGTTTCCTGTGATGACTGCATTCAACTCACAGAGGTGAACAATCCTGTTGATGGAGCAGTTTTGAATCTCTCTTTCTTTGGATTCTGCAAGTGGATATGTGGACCTCTGTGCAGATTTCGTTGGAAACGGGTTCATTTTCACAGAAAAACTAAACAGAAGCATTCTCAGAAACTGCTTTGTGATGTTTGTGTTCCACTTCAAGAATTGAACTTTCCTCTTGACAGAGCAGCTCTGAAACCCTCTTTTTCTAGAATCTGCAAGTGGACATTTGGAGGGCTTTGAGGCCTGTGGTGGAAAAGGAAAATCTTCACATAAAAACTAGATGGAAGCATTCTCAGAAACTACTTTGTGATGATTGCATTCGACTCACAGAGTTGAACATTCCTATAGATAGAGCAGGTTGTAAACAATCTTTTTGGAGAATCTGCGATTGGAGATTTGGACTGCTTTGAGGCCTACTGTAGTAGAGGAAATAACTTCATCTAAAAACCAAACGGAAGCATTCACAGACAATTCTTAGTGATCATTGCATTGAACTAACAGAGCTGAACATTCCTTTAGATGGCGCAGTTTCCAAACACACTTTCTGTAGAATCTGCAAGTGGATATTTGGACTTCTCTGAGGATTTCGTTGGAAACGGGATAAACTTCCCAGAACTACACGGAAGCATTGTGAGAAACTTCTTTGTGATGTTTGCATTCAACTCACAGAGTTGAACCTTGCTTTCATAGTTCAGCTTTCAAACACTCTTTTTGTAGAATCTGCAAGTGGATATTTGGACCACTTTGTGGTCTTCCTTCGAAACGGGTATATCTTCACATCAAACCTAGACAGAAGCATTCTCAGAATGTTTCTGTGATGACTGCATTCAACTCACAGAGGTGAACAATCCTGCTGATGGAGCAGTTTTGAAACTCTCTTTCTTTGGATTCTGCAAGTGGATATGTGGACCTCTGTGAAGATTTCGTTGGAAACGGGTTCATCTTCACAGAAAAACTAAACAGGAGCATTCTCAGAAACTGTTTTGTGATGTTTGTGTTCCACTTCAGGAATTGAACTTTCCTCTTGACAGAGCAGCTCTGAAACCCTCTTTTTCTAGAATCTGCAAGTGGACATTTGGAGGGCTTTGAGTCCTGTGGTGGAAAAGGAAAATCTTCACATAAAAACTAGATGGAAGCATTCTCAGAAACTACTTTGTGATGATTGCATTCGACTCACAGAGTTGAACATTCCTATAGAGAGAGCAGGTTGTAAACAATCTTTTTGTAGAATCTGAGATTGGAGATTTGGACTGCTTTGAGGCCTACTGTAGTAAAGGAAATAACTTCATTTAAAAACCAAACGGAAGCATTCACAGACAATTCTTAGTGATCATTGGATTGAACTAACAGAGCTGAACATTCCTTTAGATGGAGCAGTTTCCAAACACACTTTCTGTAGAATCTGCAAGTGGATATTTGGACCTCTCTGAGGATTTCGTTGGAAACGGGATAAACTTCCCAGAACTACACGGAAGCATTCTGAGAAACTTCTTTGTGATGTTTGCATTCAACTCACAGAGTTGAACCTTGCTTTCATAGTTCAGCTTTCAAACACTCTTTTTGTAGAATCTGCAAGTGGATATTTGGACCACTTTGTGGCCTTCCTTCGAAACGGGTATATCTTCACATCAAACCTAGACAGAAGCATTCTCAGAATGTTTCCTGTGATAACTGCATTCAACTCACAGAGGTGAACAATCCTGTTGATGGAGCAGTTTTGAATCTCCCTTTGTTTGGATTCTGCAAGTGGATATGTGGAACTCTGTGAAGATTTCGTTGGAAACGGGTTCATCTTCACAGAAAAACTAAACAGGAGCATTCTCAGAAACTGCTTTGTGATGTTTGTGTTCCACTTCAAGAATTGAACTTTCCTCTTGACAGAGCAGCTCTGAAACCCTCTTTTTCTAGAATCTGCAAGTGGACATTTGGAGGGCTTTGAGGCCTGTGGTGGAAAAGGAAAATCTTCACATAAAAACTAGATGGAAGCATTCTCAGAAACTACTTTGTGATGATTGCATTCGACTCACAGAGTTGAACATTCCTATAGATAGAGCAGGTTGTAAACAATCTTTTTGTAGAATCTGCGATTGGAGATTTGGACTGCTTTGAGGCCTACTGTGGTAAAGGAAATAACTTCATCTAAAAACCAAACGGAAGCATTCACAGACAATTCTTAGTGATCATTGGATTGAACTAACAGAGCTGAACATTCCTTTAGAGGGAGCAGTTGCCAAACCCACTTTCTGTAGAATCTGCAAGTGGATATTTGGACTTCTCTGAGGATTTCGTTGGAAACGGGATAAACTTCCCAGAACTACACCGAAGTATTCTGAGAAACTTCTTTGTGATGTTTGCATTCAACTCACAGAGTTGAACCTTGCTTTCATAGTTCAGCTTTCAAACACTCTTTTCGTAGAATCTGCAAGTAGATATTTGGACCACTTTGTGGCCTTCCTTCGAAACGGGTATATCTTCACATCAAACCTAGACAGAAGCATTCTCAGAATGTTTCCTGTGATGACTGCATTCAACTCACAGAGGTGAACAATCCTGCTGATGGAGCAGTTTTGAAACTCTCTTTCTTTGGATTCTGCAAGTGGATATGTGGACCTCTGTGAAGATTTCGTTGGAAACGGGTTCATCTTCACAGAAAAACTAAACAGAAGCATTCTCAGAAACTGCTTTGTGATGTTTGTGTTCCACTTCAAGAATTGAACTTTCCTCTTGACAGAGCAGCTCTGAAACCCTCTTTTTCTAGAATCTGCAAGTGGACATTTGGAGGGCTTTGAGGCCTGTGGTGCAAAAGGAAAATCTTCACATAAAAACTAGATGGAAGCATTCTCAGAAACTACTTTGTGATGATTGCATTCGACTCACAGAGTTGAACATTCCTATAGATAGAGCAGGTTGTAAACAATCTTTTTGTAGAATCTGCGATTGGAGATTTGGACTGCTTTGAGGCCTACTGTAGTAAAGGAAATAACTTCATCTAAAAACCAAACGGAAGCATTCACAGACAATTCTTAGTGATCATTGGATTGAACTAACAGAGCTGAACATTCCTTTAGATGGAGCAGTTTCCAAACACACTTTCTGTAGAATCTGCAAGTGGATATTTGGACCTCTCTGAGGATTTCGTTGGAAACGGGATAAACTTCCCAGAACTACACGGAAAGCATTCTGAGAAACTTCTTTGTGATGTTTGCATTCAACTCACAGGATTTGCACCTTGCTTTCATAGTTCAGCTTTCAAACACTCTTTTTGTAGAATCTGCAAGTGGATATTTGGACCACTTTGTGGCCTTCCTTCGAAAAGGGTATATCTTCACATCAAACCTAGACAGAAGCATTCTCAGAATGTTTCCTGTGATGACTGCATTCAACTCACAGAGGTGAACAATCCTGCTGATGGAGCAGTTTTGAAACTCTCTTTCTTTGGATTCTGCAAGTGGATATGTGGACCTCTGTGAAGATTTCGTTGGAAACGGGTTCATCCTCACAGAAAAACTAAACAGGAGCATTCTCAGAAACTGCTTTGTGATGTTTGTGTTCCACTTCAGGAATTGAACTTTCCTCTTGACAGAGCAGCTCTGAAACCCTCTTATTCTAGAATCTGCAAGTGGACATTTGGAGGGCTTTGAGGCCTGTGGTGGAAAAGGAAAATCTTCACATAAAAACTAGATGGAAGCATTCTCAGAAACTACTTTGTGATGATTGCATTCGACTCACAGAGTTGAACATTCCTATAGATAGAGCAGGTTGTAAACAATCTTTTTGTAGAATCTGCGATTGGAGATTTGGACTGCTTTGAGGCCTACTGTAGTAAAGGAAATAACTTCATCTAAAAACCAAACGGAAGCATTCACAGACAATTCTTAGTGATCATTGCATTGAACTAACAGAGCTGAACATTCCTTTAGATGGAGCATTTTCCAAACACACTTTCTGTAGAATCTGCAAGTGGATATTTGGACTTCTCTGAGGATTTCGTTGGAAACGGGATAAACTTCCCAGAACTACACGGAAGCATTGTGAGAAACTTCTTTGTGATGTTTGCATTCAACTCACAGAGTTGAACCTTGCTTTCATAGTTCAGCTTTCAAACACTCTTTTTGTAGAATCTGCAAGTGGATATTTGGACCACTTTGTGGCCTTCCTTCGAAACGGGTATATCTTCACATCAAACCTAGACAGAAGCATTCTCAGAATGTTTCCTGTGATGACTGCATTCAACTCACAGAGGTGAACAATCCTGCTGATGGAGCAGTTTTGAAACTCCCTTTCTTTGGATTCTGCAAGTGGATATGTGGACCTCTGTGAAGATTTCGTTGGAAACGGGTTCATCTTCAAAGAAAAACTAAACAGAAGCATTCTCAGAAACTGCTTTGTGATGTTTGTGTTCCACTTCAGGAATTGAACTTTCCTCTTGACAGAGCAGCTCTGAAACCCTCTTATTCTAGAATCTGCAAGTGGACATTTGGAGGGCTTTGAGGCCTGTGGTGGAAAAGGAAAATCTTCATATAAAAACTAGATGGAAGCATTCTCAGAAACTACTTTGTGATGATTGCATTCGACTCACAGAGTTGAACATTCCTATAGATAGAGCAGGTTGTAAACAATCTTTTTGTAGAATCTGCGATTGGAGATTTGCACTGCTTTGAGGCCTACTGTAGTAAAGGAAATAACTTCATTTAAAAACCAAACGGAAGCATTCACAGACAATTCTTAGTGATCATTGGATTGAACTAACAGAGCTGAACATTCCTTTAGATGGAGCAGTTTCCAAACCCTCTTTCTGTAGAATCTGCAAGTGGATATTTGGACTTCTCTGAGGATTTCGTTGGAAACGGGATAAACTTCCCAGAACTACACGGAAGCATTCTGAGAAACTTCTTTGTGATGTTTGCATTCAACTCACAGAGTTGAACCTTGCTTTCATAGTTCAGCTTTCACACACTCTTTTTGTAGAATCTGCAAGTGGATATTTGGACCACTTTGTGGCCTTCCTTCGAAACGGGTATATCTTCACATGAAACCTGGACAGAAGCATTCTCAGAATGTTTCCTGTGATGACTGCATTCAACTCACAGAGGTGAACAATCCTGCTGATGGAGCAGTTTTGAAACTCTCTTTCTTTGGATTCTGCAAGTGGATATGTGGACCTCTTTGAAGATTTCGTTGGAGACGGGTTCATCTTCACAGAAAAACTAAACAGGAGCATTCTCAGAAACTGCTTTGTGATGTTTGTGTTCCACTTCAAGAATTGAACTTTCCTCTTGACAGAGCAGCTCTGAAACCCTCTTTTTCTAGAATCTGCAAGTGGACATTTGGAGGGCTTTGAGGCCTGTGGTGGAAAAGGAAAATCTTCACATAAAAACTAGATGGAAGCCTTCTAACAAACTACTTTGTGATGATTGCATTCGACTCACAGAGTTGAACATTCCTATAGATAGAGCAGGTTGTAAACAATCTTTTTGTAGAATCTGCGATTGGAGATTTGGACTGCTTTGAGGCCTACTGTAGTAAAGGAAATAACTTCATCTAAAAACCAAACGGAAGCATTCACAGACAATTCTTAGTGATCATTGGATTGAACTAACAGAGCTGAACATTCCTTTAGATGGAGCAGTTTCCAAACACACTTTCTGTAGAATCTGCAAGTGGATATTTGGACCTCTCTGAGGATTTCGTTGGAAACGGGTTATACTTCCCAGAACTACACGGAAGCATTCTGAGAAACTTCTTTGTGATGTTTGCATTCAACTCACAGAGTTGAACCTTGCTTTCATAGGTCAGCTTTCAAACACTCTTTTTGTAGAATCTGCAAGTGGATATTTGGACAACTTTGTGGCCTTCCTTCGAAACGGGTATATCTTCACATCAAACCTTGACAGAAGCATTCTCAGAATGTTTCCTGTGATGACTGCATTCAACTCACAGAGGTGAACAATCCTTCTGATGGAGCAGTTTTGAAACTCTCTTTCTTTGGATTCTGCAAGTGGATATGTGGACCTCTGTGAAGATTTCGTTGGAAACGGGTTCATCTTCACAGAAAAACTAAACAGGAGCATTCTCAGAAACTGCTTTGTGATGTTTGTGTTCCACTTCAAGAATTGAACTTTCCTCTTGACAGAGCAGCTCTGAAACCCTCTTTTTCTAGAATCTGCAAGTGGACATTTGGAGTGCTTTGAGGCCTGTGGTGGAAAAGGAAAATCTTCACATAAAAACTAGATGGAAGCATTCTCAGAAACTACTTTGTGATGATTGCATTCGACTCACAGAGTTGAACATTCCTATAGATAGAGCAGGTTGTAAACAATCTTTTTGTAGAATCTGCGATTGGAGATTTGGACTGCTTTGAGGCCTACTGTAGTAAAGGAAATAACTTCATCTAAAAACCAAACGGAAGAATTCACAGACAATTCTTAGTGATCATTGGATTGAACTAACAGAGTTGAACATTCCTTTAGATGGAGCAGTTTCCAAACACACTTTCTGTAGAATCTGCAAGTGGATATTTGGACCTCTCTGAGGATTTCGTTGGAAACGGGATAAACTTCCCAGAACTACACGGAAGCATTGTGAGAAACTTCTTTGTGATGTTTGCATTCAACTCACAGAGTTGAACCTTGCTTTCCTAGTTCAGCTTTCATACACTCTTTTTGTGGAATCTGCAAGTGGATATTTGGACCACTTTGTGGCCTTCCTTCGAAACGGGTATATCTTCACATCAAACCTAGACAGAAGCATTCTCAGAATGTTTCCTGTGATGACTGCATTCAACTCACAGAGGTGAACAATCCTGCTGATGGAGCAGTTTTGAAACTCTCTTTCTTTGGATTCTGCAAGTGGATATGTGGACCTCTGTGAAGATTTCGTTGGAAACGGGTTCATCTTCACAGAAAAACTAAACAGGAGCATTCTCAGAAACTGCTTTGTGATGTTTGTGTTCCACTTCAGGAATTGAACTTTCCTCTTGACAGAGCAGCTCTGAAACCCTCTTATTCTAGAATCTGCAAGTGGACATTTGGAGGGCTTTGAGGCCTGTGGTGGAAAAGGAAAATCTTCACATAAAAACTAGATGGAAGCATTCTCAGAAACTACTTTGTGATGATTGCATTCGACTCACAGAGTTGAACATTCCTATAGATAGAGCAGGTTGTAAACAATCTTTTTGTAGAATCTGCGATTGGAGATTTGGACTGCTTTGAGGCCTACTGTAGTAAAGGAAATAACTTCATCTAAAAACCAAACGGAAGCATTCACAGACAATTCTTAGTGATCATTGGATTGAACTAACAGAGCTGAACATTCCTTTAGATGGAGCAGTTTCCAAACCCACTTTCTGTAGAATCTGCAAGTGGATATTTGGACTTCTCTGAGGATTTCGTTGGAAACGGGATATACTTCCCAGAACTACACGGAAGCATTGTGAGAAACTTCTTTGTGATGTTTGCATTCAACTCACACAGTTGAACCTTGCTTTCATAGTTCAGCTTTCAAACACTCTTTTTGTAGAATCTGCAAGTGGATATTTGGACCACTTTGTGGCCTTCCTTCGAAACGGGTATATCTTCACATCAAACCTAGACAGAAGCATTCTCAGAATGTTTCCTGTGATGACTGCATTCAACTCACAGAGGTGAACAATCCTGCTGATGGAGCAGTTTTGAAACTCTCTTTCTTTGGATTCTGCAAGTGGATATGTGGACCTCTGTGAAGATTTCGTTGCAAACGGGTTCATATTCACAGAAAAACTAAACAGGAGCATTCTCAGAAACTGCTTTGTGATGTTTGTGTTCCACTTCAGGAATTGAACTTTCCTCTTGACAGAGCAGCTCTAAAACCCTCTTATTCTAGAATCTGCAAGTGGACATTTGGAGGGCTTTGAGGCCTGTGGTGGAAAAGGAAAATCTTCACATAAAAACTAGATGGAAGCATTCTCAGAAACTACTTTGTGATGATGGCTTTCGACTCACAGAGTTGAACATTCCTATAGATAGAGCAGGTTGTAAACAATCTTTTTGTAGAATCTGCGATTGGAGATTTGGACTGCTTTGAGGCCTACTGTAGTAAAGGAAATAACTTCATCTAAAAACCAAACGGAAGCATTCACAGAAAATTGTTAGTGATCATTGCATGGAACTAACAGAGCTGAACATTCCTTTAGATGGCGCAGTTTCCAAACACACTTTCTGTAGAATCTGCAAGTGGATATTTGGACCTCTCTGAGGATTTCGTTGGAAACGGGATAAACTTCCCAGAACTACACAGAAGCATTCTGAGAAACTTCTTTGTGATGTTTGCATTCAACTCACAGAGTTGAACCTTGCTTTCATAGTTCAGCTTTCAAACACTCTTTTTGTAGAATCTGCAAGTGGATATTTTGACCACTTTGTGGCCTTCCTTCGAAACGGGTGTATTTTCACATCAAACCTAGACAGAAGCATTCTCAGAATGTTTCCTGTGATGACTGCATTCAACTCACAGAGGTGAACAATCCTGCTGATGGAGCAGTTTTGAAACTCTCTTTCTTTGGATTCTGCAAGTGGATATGTGGACCTCTGTGAAGATTTCGTTGGAAACGGGTTCATCTTCACAGAAAAACTAAACAGAAGCATTCTCAGAAACTGCTTTGTGATGTTTGTGTTCCACTTCAGGAATTGAACTTTCCTCTTGACAGAGCAGCTCTGAAACCCTCTTATTCTAGAATCTGCAAGTGGACATTTGGAGGGCTTTGAGGCCTGTGGTGGAAAAGGAAAATCTTCACATAAAAACTAGATGGAAGCATTCTCAGAAACTACTTTGTGATGATTGCATTCGACTCACAGAGTTGAACATTCGTATAGATAGAGCAGGTTGTAAACAATCTTTTTGTAGAATCTGCGATTGGAGATTTGGACTGCTTTGAGGCCTACTGTAGTAAAGGAAATAACTTAATCTAAAAACCAAACGGAAGCATTCACAGACAATTCTTAGTGATCATTGCATTGAACTAACAGAGCTGAACATTCCTTTAGATGGCGCAGTTTCCAAACACACTTTCTGTAGAATCTGCAAGTGGATATTTGGACTTCTCTGAGGATTTCGTTGGAAACGGGATAAACTTCCCAGAACTACACGGAAGCATTCTGAGAAACTTCTTTGTGATGTTTGCATTCAACTCACAGAGTTGAACCTTGCTTTCATAGTTCAGCTTTCAAACACTCTTTTTGTAGAATCTGCAAGTGGATATTTGGACCACTTTGTGGCCTTCCTTCGAAACGGGTATATCTTCACATCAAACCTAGACAGAAGCATTTTCAGAATGTTTCCTGTGATGACTGCATTCAACTCACAGAGGTGAACAATCCTGCTGATGGAACAGTTTTGAAACTCTCTTTCTTTGGATTCTGCAAGTGGATATGAGGACCTCTGTGAAGATTTCGTTGGAAACGGGTTCATCTTCACAGAAAAACTAAACAGGAGCATTCTCAGAAACTGCTTCGTGATGTTTGTGTTCCTCTTCAAGAATTGAACTTTCCTCTTGACAGAGCAGCTCTGAAACCCTCTTTTTCTAGAATCTGCAAGTGGACATTTGGAGGGCTTTGAGGCCTGTGGTGGAAAAGGAAAATCTTCACATAAAAACTAGATGGAAGCATTCTCAGAAACTACTTTGTGATGATTGCATTCAACTCACAGAGTTGAACATTCCTATAGAGAGAGCAGGTTGTAAACAATCTTTTTGTAGAATCTGCGATTGGAGATTTGGACTGCTTTGAGGCCTACTGTACTAAAGGAAATAACTTCATCTAAAAACCAAACGGAAGCATTCACAGACAATTCTTAGTGATCATTGGATTGAACTAACAGAGCTGAACATTCCTTTAGATGGAGCAGTTTCCAAACACACTTTCTGTAGAATCTGCAAGTGGATATTTGGACTTCTCTGAGGATTTCGTTGGAAACGGGATAAACTTCCCAGAACTACACGGAAGCATTCTGAGAAACTTCTTTGTGATGTTTGCATTCAACTCACAGAGTTGAACCTTGCTTTCATAGTTCAGCTTTCAAACACTCTTTTTGTAGAATCTGCAAGTGGATATTTGGACCACTTTGTGGCCTTCCTTCGAAACGGGTATATCTTCACATCAAACCTAGACAGAAGCATTCTCAGAATGTTTCCTGTGATGACTGCATTCAACTCACAGAGGTGAACAATCCTGCTGATGGAGCACTTTTGAAACTCTCCTTCTTTGGATTCTGCAAGTGAATATGTGTTCCTCTGTGAAGATTTCGTTGGAAACGGGTTCATCTTCACAGAAAAACTAAACAGAAGCCTTCTCAGAAACTGCTTTGTGATGTTTGTGTTCCACTTCAGGAATTGAACTTTCCTCTTGACAGAGCAGCTCTGAAACCCTCTTTTTCTAGAATCTGCAAGTGGACATTTGGAGGGCTTTGAGGCCTGTGGTGGAAAAGGAAAATCTTCACATAAAAACTAGATGGAAGCATTCTCAGAAACTACTTTGTGATGATTGCATTCGACTCACAGAGTTGAACATTCCTATAGATAGAGCAGGTTGTAAACAATCTTTTTGTAGAATCTGCGATTGGAGATTTGGACTGCTTTGAGGCCTAATGTAGTAAAGGAAATAACTTCATCTAAAAACCAAACGGAAGCATTCACAGACAATTCTTAGTGATCATTGGATTGAACTAACAGAGCTGAACATTCCTTTAGATGGAGCAGTTTCCAAACACACTTTCTGTAGAATCTGCCACTGGATATTTGGACCTCTCTGAGGATTTCGTTGGAAACGGGCTAAACTTCCCAGAACTACACGGAAGCATGCTGAGAAACTTCTTTGTGATGTTTGCATTCAACTCACAGAGTTGAACCTTGCTTTCATAGTTCAGCTTTCAAACACTCTTTTTGTAGAATCTGCAAGTGGATATTTGGACCACTTTGTGGCCTTCCTTCGAAACGGGTATATCTTCACATCAAACCTAGACAGAAGCATTCTCAGAATGTTTCCTGTGATGACTGCATTCAACTCACAGAGGTGAACAATCCTGCTGATGGAGCAGTTTTGAAACTCTCTTTCTTTGGATTCTGCAAGTGGATTTGTGGACCTCTGTGAAGATTTCGTTGGAAAAGGGTTCATCTTCACAGAGAAACTAAACAGGAGCATTCTCAGAAACTGCTTTGTGATGTTTGTGTTCCACTTCAAGAATTGAACTTTCCTCTTGACAGAGCAGCTCTGAAACCCTCTTTTTCTAGAATCTGCAAGTGGACATTTGGAGGGCTTTGAGGCCTGTGGTGGAAAAGGAAAATCTTCCCATAAAAACTAGATGGAAGCATTCTCAGAAACTACTTTGTGATGATTGCATTCGACTCACAGAGTTGAACATTCCTATAGATAGAGCAGGTTGTAAACAATCTTTTTGTAGAATCTGCGATTGGAGATTTGGACTGCTTTGAGGCCTACTGTAGTAAAGGAAATAACTTCATCTAAAAACCAAACGGAAGCATTCACAGATAATTCTTAGTGATATTGGATTGAACTAACAGAGCTGAACATTCCTTTAGATGGATCAGTTTCCAAACACACTTTCTGTAGAATCTGCAAGTGGATATTTGGACTTCTCTGAGGATTTCGTTGGAAACGGGATAAACTTCCCAGAACTACACGGAAGCATTCTGAGAAACTTCTTTGTCATGTTTGCATTCAACTCACAGAGTTGAACCTTGCTTTCATAGTTCAGCTTTCAAACACTCTTTTTGTAGAATCTGCAAGTGGATATTTGGACCACTTTGTGGCCTTCCTTCGAAACGGGTATATCTTCACATCAAACCTAGACAGAAGCATTCTCAGAATGTTTCCTGTGATGACTGCATTCAACTCACAGAGGTGAACAATCCTGCTGATGGAGCAGTTTTGAAACTCTCTTTCTTTGGATTCTGCAAGTGGATATGTGGACCTCTGTGAAGATTTCGTTGGAAACGGGTTCATCTTCACAGAAAAACTAAACAGGAGCATTCTCAGAAACTGCTTTGTGATGTTTGTGTTCCACATCAAGAATTGAACTTTCCTCTTGACAGAGCAGCTCTGAAACCCTCTTTTTCTAGAATCTGCAAGTGGACATTTGGAGGGCTTTGAGGCCTGTGGTGCAAAAGGAAAATCTTCACATAAAAACTAGATGGAAGCATTCTCAGAAACTACTTTGTGATGATTGCATTCGACTCACAGAGTTGAACATTCCTATAGATAGAGCAGGTTGTAAACAATCTTTTTGTAGAATCTGCGATTGGAGATTTGGACTGCTTTGAGGCCTACTGTAGTAAAGGAAATAACTTCATCTAAAAACCAAACGGAAGCATTCACAGAAAATTCTTAGTGATCATTGGATTGAACTAACAGAGCTGAACATTCCTTTAGATGGAGCAGTTTCCAAACCCACTTTCTGTAGAATCTGCAAGTGGATATTTGGACTTCTCTGAGGATTTCGTTGGAAACGGGATAAACTTCCCAGAACTACACGGAAGCATTCTGAGAAACTTCTTTGTGATGTTTGCATTCAACTCACAGAGTTGAACCTTGATTTCATAGTTCAGCTTTCAAACACTCTTTTTGTAGAATCTGCAAGTGGATATTTGGACCACTTTGTGGCCTTCCTTCGAAACGGGTATATCTTCACATCAAACCTAGACAGAAAGCATTCTCAGAATGTTTCCTGTGATGACTGCATTCAACTCACAGAGGTGAACAATCCTGCTGATGGAGCAGTTTTGAAACTCTCTTTCTTTGGATTCTGCAAGTGGATATGTGGACCTCTGTGAAGATTTCGTTGGAAACGGGTTCATCTTCACAGAAAAACTAAACAGGAGCATTCTCAGAAACTGCTTTGTGATGTTTGTGTTCCACTTCAGGAATTGAACTTTCCTCTTGACAGACCAGCTCTGAAACCCTCTTTTTCTAGAATCTGCAAGTGGACATTTGGAGGGCTTTGAGGCCTGTGGTGGAAAAGGAAAATCTTCACATAAAAACTAGATGGAAGCATTCTCAGAAACTACTTTGTGATGATTGCATTCGACTCACAGAGTTGAACATTCCTATAGATAGAGCAGGTTGTAAACAATCTTTTTGTAGAATCTGCGATTGGAGATTTGGACTGCTTTGAGGCCTACTGTAGTAAAGGAAATAACTTCATCTAAAAACCAAACGGAAGCATTCACAGACAATTCTTAGTGATCATTGGATTGAACTAACAGAGCTGAACATTCCTTTAGATGGCACAGTTTCCAAACACACTTTCTGTAGAATCTGCAATTGGATATTTGGACCTCTCTGAGGATTTCGTTGGAAACGGGATAAACTTCCCAGAACTACACGGAAGCATTCTGAGAAACTTCTTTGTGATGTTTGCATTCAACTCACAGAGTTGAACCTTGCTTTCATAGTTCAGCTTTCAAACACTCTTTTTGTAGAATCTGCAAGTGGATATTTGGACCACTTTGTGGCCTTCCTTCGAAACGGGTATATCTTCACATCAAACCTAGACAGAAGCATTCTCAGAATGTTTCCTGTGATGACTGCATTCAACTCACAGAGGTGAACAATCCTGTTGATGGAGCACTTTTGAAACTCTCTTTCTTTGGATTCTGCAAGTTGATATGTGGACCTCTGTGAAGATTTCGTTGGAAACGGGTTCATCTTCACAGAAAAACTAAACAGAAGCATTCTCAGAAACTGCTTTGTGATGTTTGTGTTCCACTTCAAGAATTGAACTTTCTTCTTGACAGAGCAGCTCTGAAACCCTCTTTTTCTAGAATCTGCAAGTGTACATTTGGAGGGCTTTGAGGCCTGTGGTGGAAAAGGAAAATCTTCACATAAAAACTAGATGGAAGCATTCTCAGAAACTACTTTGTGATGATTGCAACGTCTCACAGAGTTGAACATTCCTATAGATAGAGCAGGTTGTAAACAATCTTTTTGTAGAATCTGCGATTGGAGATTTGGACTGCTTTGAGGCCTACTGTAGTAAAGGAAATAACTTCATCTAAAAACCAAACGGAAGCATTCACAGACAATTCTTACTGATCATTGGATTGAACTAACAGAGCTGAACATTCCCTTAGATGGCGCAGTTTCCAAACACACTTTCTGTAGAATCTGCAAGTGGATATTTGGACCTCTCTGAGGATTTCGTTGGAAACGGGATAAACTTCCCAGAACTACACGGAAGCATTCTGAGAAACTTCTTTGTGATGTTTGCATTCAACTCACAGAGTTGAACCTTGCTTTCATAGTTCAGCTTTCAAACACTCTTTTTGTAGAATCTGCAAGTGGATATTTGGACCACTTTGTGGCCTTCCTTCGAAACGGGTATATCTTCACATCAAACCTAGACAGAAGCATTCTCAGAATGTTTCCTGTGATGACTGCATTGAACTCACAGAGATGAACAATCCTGTTGATGGAGCAGTTTTGAAACTCTCTTTCTTTGGATTCTGCAAGTGGATATGTGGACCTCTGTGAAGATTTCGTTGGAAACGGGTTCATCTTCAGAGAAAAACTAAACAGGAGCATTCTCAGAAACTGCTTTGTGATATTTGTGTTCCACTTCAGGAATTGAACTTTCCTCTTGACAGAGCAGCTCTGAAACCCTCTTTTTCTAGAATCTGCAAGTGGACATTTGGAGGGCTTTGAGGCCTGTGGTGGAAATGGAAAATCTTCACATAAATACTAGATGGAAGCATTCTCAGAAACTCCTTTGTGATGATTGCATTCGACTCACAGAGTTGAACATTCCTATAGATAGAGCAGGTTGTAAACAATCTTTTTGTAGAATCTGCGATTGGAAATTTGGACTGCTTTGAGGCCTACTGTAGTAAAGGAAATAACTTCATCTAAAAACCAAACGGAAGCATTCACAGACAATTCTTAGTGATCATTGCATTGAACTAACAGAGCTGAACATTGCTTTAGATGGCGCAGTTTCCAAACACACTTTCTGTAGAATCTGCAAGTGGATATTTGGACCTCTCTGAGGATTTCGTTGGAAACGGGATAAACTTCCCAGAACTACACGGAAGTATTCTAAGAAACTTCTTTGTGATGGTTGCATTCAACTCACAGAGTTGAACCTTGGTTTCATAGTTCAGCTTTCAAACACTCTTTTTGTAGAATCTGCAAGTGGATATTTGGACCAATTTGTGGCCTTCCTTCGAAACGGGCATATCTTCACATCAAACCTAGACAGAAGCATTCTCAGAATGTTTCCTGTGATGACTGCATTCAACTCACAGAGGTGAACAATCCTTCTGATGGAGCAGTTTTGAAACTCTCTTTCTTTGGATTCTGCAATTGGATATGTGGACCTCTGTGAAGATTTCGTTGGAAACGGGTTCATCTTCACAGAAAAACTAAACAGGAGCATTCCCAGAAACTGCTTTGTGATGTTTCTGTTCCACTTCAAGAATTGAACTTTCCTCTTGACAGAGCAGCTCTGAAACCCTCTTTTTCTAGAATCTGCAAGTGGACATTTGGAGGGCTTTGAGGCCTGTGGTGGAAAAGGAAAATCTTCACATAAAAACTAGATGGAAGCATTCTCAGAAACTACTTTGTGATGATTGCATTCGACTCACAGAGTTGAACACTCCTATAGATAGAGCAGGTTGTAAACAATCTTTTTGTAGAATCTGCGATTGGAGATTTGGACTGCTTTGAGGCCTACTGTAGTAAAGGAAATAACTTCATCTTAAAACCAAACGGAAGCATTCACAGACAATTCTTAGTGATCATTGGATTGAACTAACAGAGCTGAACATTCCTTTAGATGGAGCATTTTCCAAACACACTTTCTGTAGAATCTGCAAGTGGATATTTGGACTTCTCTGAGGATTTCGTTGGAAACGGGATAAACTTCCCAGAACTACACGGAAGCATTCTGAGAAACTTCTTTGTGATGTTTGCATTCAACTCACAGAGTTGAACCTTGCTTTCATAGTTCAGCTTTCAAACACTCTTTTTGTAGAATCTGCAAGTGGATATTTGGACCACTTTCTGGCCTTCCTTCGAAACGGGTATATCTTCACATCAAACCTAGACAGAAGCATTCTCAGAATGTTTCCTGTGATGACTGCATTCAACTCACAGAGGTGAACAATCCTGCTGATGGAGCAGTTTTGAAACTCTCTTTCTTTGGATTCTGCAAGTGGATATGTGGACCTCTGTGCAGATTTCGTTGGAAACGGGTTCATCTTCACAGAAAAACTAAACAGGAGCATTCTCAGAAACTGCTTTGTGATGTTTGTGTTCCACTTCAGGAATTGAACTTTCCTCTTGACAGAGCAGCTCTAAAACCCTCTTATTCTAGAATCTGCAAGTGGACATTTGGAGGGCTTTGAGGCCTGTGGTGGAAAAGGAAAATCTTCACATAAAAACTAGATGGAAGCATTCTCAGAAACTACTTTGTGATGATTGCATTCGACTCACAGAGTTGAACATTCCTATACATAGAGCAGGTTGTAAACAATCTTTTTGTAGAATCTGCGATTGGAGATTTGGACTGCTTTGAGGCCTACTGTAGTAAAGGAAATAACTTCATCTAAAAACCAAACGGAAGCATTCACAGACAATTCTTAGTGATCATTGCATTGAACTAACAGAGCTGAACATTCCTTTAGATGGAGCAGTTTCCAAACCCACTTTCTGTAGAATCTCCAAGTGGATATTTGGACTTCTCTGAGGATTTCGTTGGAAACGGGATAAACTTCCCAGAACTACACGGAAGAATTGTGAGAAACTTCTTTGTGATGTTTGCATTCAACTCACAGTGTTGAAACTTGCTTTCATTGTTCAGCTTTCAAACACTCTTTTTGTAGAATCTGCAAGTGGATATTTGGACCACTTTGTGGCCTTCCTTCGAAACGGGTATATCTTCACATCAAACCTAGACAGAAGCATTCTCAGAATGTTTCCTGTGATGACTGCATTCAACTCACAGAGGTGAACAATCCTGCTGATGGAGCAGTTTTGAAACTCTCTTTCTTTGGATTCTGCAAGTGGATATGTGGACCTCTGTGAAGATTTCGTTGGAAACGGGTTCATCTTCACAGAAAAACTAAACAGGAGCATTCTCAGAAACTGCATTGTGATGTTTGTGTTCCACTTCAGGAATTGAACTTTCCTCTTGACAGAGCAGCTCTGAAACCCTCTTTTTCTAGAATCTGCAAGTGGACATTTGGAGGGCTTTGAGGCCTGTGGTGGAAAAGGAAAATCTTCACATAAAAACTAGATGGAAGCATTCTCAGAAACTACTTTGTGATGATTGCATTCGACTCACAGAGTTGAACATTCCTATAGATAGAGCAGGTTATAAACAATCTTTTTGTAGAATCTGCGATTGGAGATTTGGACTGCTTTGAGGCCTACTGTAGTAAAGGAAATAACTTCATCTAAAAACCAAACGGAAGCATTCACAGACAATTCTTAGTGATCATTGCATTGAACTAACAGAGCTGAACATTCCTTTAGATGGCGCAGTTTCCAAACACACTTTCTGTAGAATCTGCAAGTGGATATTTGGACCTCTCTGAGGATTTCTTTGGAAAAGGGATAAACTTCCCAGAACTACACGGAAGCATTCTGAGAAACTTCTTTGTGATGTTTGCATTCAACTCACAGAGTTGAACCTTGCTTTCATAGTTCAGCTTTCAAACACTCTTTTTCTAGAATCTGCAAGTGGATATTTGGACCACTTTGTGGCCTTCCTTCGAAACGGGTATATCTTCACATCAAACCTAGACAGAAGCATTCTCAGAATGTTTCCTGTGATGACTGCATTCAACTCACAGAGGTGAACAATCCTGCTGATGGAGCAGTTTTGAAACTCTCTTTCTTTGGATTCTGCAAGTGGATATGTGGACCTCTGTGAAGATTTCGTTGGAAACGGGTTCATCTTCACAGAAAAACTAAACAGGAGCATTCTCAGAAACTACTTTGTGATGTTTGTGTTCCACTTCAAGAATTGAACTTTCCTCTTGACAGAGCAGCTCTGAAACCCTCTTTTTCTAGAATCTGCAAGTGGACATTTGGAGGGCTTTGAGGCCTGTGGTGGAAAAGGAAAATCTTCACATAAAAACTAGATGGAAGCATTCTCAGAAACTACTTTGTGATGATTGCATTCGACTCACAGAGTTGAACATTCCTATAGATAGAGCAGGTTGTAAACAATCTTTTTGTAGAATCTGCGATTGGAGATTTGGACTGCTTTGAGGCCTACTGTAGTAAAGGAAATAACTTCATCTAAAAACCAAACGGAAGCATTCACAGACAATTCTTAGTGATCATTGGATTGAACTAACAGAGCTGAACATTCCTTTAGATGGAGCAGTTTCCAAACACACTTTCTGTAGAATCTGCAAGTGGATATTTGGACTTCTCTGAGGATTTCGTTGGAAACGGGATAAACTTCCCAGAACTACACGGACATTCGTGAGAAACTTCTTTGTGATGTTTGCATTCAACTCACAGAGTTGAACCTTGCTTTCATAGTTCAGCTTTCAAACACTCTTTTTGTAGAATCTGCAAGTGGATATTTGGACCACTTTGTGGCCTTCCTTCGAAACGGGTATATCTTCACATCAAACCTAGACAGAAGCATTCTCAGAATGTTTCCTGTGATGACTGCATTCAACTCACAGAGGTGAACAATCCTGCTGATGGAGCAGTTTTGAAACTCTCTTTCTTTGGATTCTGCAAGTGGATATGTGGACCTCTGTGAAGATTTCGTTGGAAACGGGTTCATCTTCACAGAAAAACTAAACAGAAGCATTCTCAGAAACTGCTTTGTGATGTTTGTGTTCCACTTCAAGAATTGAACTTTCCTCTTGACAGAGCAGCTCTGAAACCCTCTTTTTCTAGAATCTGCAAGTGGACATTTGGAGGGCTTTGAGGCCTGTGGTGGAAAAGGAAAATCTTCACATAAAAACTAGATGGAAGCATTCTCAGAAACTACTTTGTGATGATTGCATTCGACTCACAGAATTGAACATTCCTATAGATAGAGCAGGTTGAAAACAATCTTTTTGTAGAATCTGCGATTGGAGATTTGGACTGCTTTGAGGCCTACTGTAGTAAAGGAAATAACTTCATCTAAAAACCAAACGGAAGCATTCACAGACAATTCTTAGTGATCATTGCATTGAACTAACAGAGTTGAACATTCCTTTAGGTGGCGCAGTTTCCAAACACACTTTCTGTTGAATCTGCAAGTGGATATTTGGACCTCTCTGAGGATTTCGTTGGAAACGGGATAAACTTCCCAGAACTACACGGAAGCATTGTGAGAAACTTCTTTGTGATGTTTGCATTCAACTCACAGAGTTGAACCTTGCTTTCATAGTTCAGCTTTCAAACCCTCTTTTTGTAGAATCTGCAAGTGGATATTTGGACCACTTTGTGGCCTTCCTTCGAAACGGGTATATGTTCACGTCAAACCTAGACAGAAGCATTCTCAGAATGTTTCCTGTGATGACTGCATTCAACTCACAGAGGTGAACAATCCTGTTGATGGAGCACTTTTGAAACTCTCTTTCTTTGGATTCTGCAAGTAGATATGTGGAACTCTGTGAAGATTTCGTTGGAAACGGGTTCATCTTCACAGAAAAACTAAACAGAAGCATTCTCAGAAACTATTTTGTGATGTTTGTGTTCCACTTCAAGAATTGAACTTTCCTCTTTACAGAGCAGCTCTGAAACCCTCTTTTTCTAGAATCTGCAAGTGGACATTTGGAGGGCTTTGAGGCCTGTGGTGGAAAAGGAAAATCTTCACATAAAAACTAGATGGAAGCATTCTCAGAAACTACTTTGGGATGATTGCATTCGACTCACAGAGTTGAACATTCGTATAGATAGAGCAGGTTGTAAACAATCTTTTTGTAGAATCTGCGATTGGAGATTTGGACTGCTTTGAGGCCTACTGTAGTAAAGGAAATAACTTCATCTAAAAACCAAACGGAAGCATTCACAGACAATTCTTAGTGATCATTGGATTGAACTAACAGAGCTGAATATTCCTTTAGATGGAGCAAATTCCAAACACACTTTCTGTAGAATCTGCAACTGGATATTTGGAACTCTCTGAGGATTTCGTTGGAAAAGGGATAAACTTCCCAGAACTACACGGAAGCATTGTGAGAAACTTCTTTGTGATGTTTGCATTCAACTCACAGAAGTTGAACCTTGCTTTCATAGTTCAGCTTTCAAACACTCCTTTTGTAGAATCTGCAAGTGGATATTTGGACCACTTTTTGGCCTTCCTTCGAAACGGGTATATCTTCACATCAAACCTAGACAGAAGCATTCTCAGAATGTTTCCTGTGATGACTGCATTCAACTCACAGAGGTGAACAATCCTGCTGATGGAGCAGTTTTGAAACTCTCTTTCTTTGGATTCTGCAAGTGGATATGTGGACCTCTGTGAAGATTTCGTTGGAAACGGGTTCATCTTCACAGAAAAACTAAACAGGAGCATTCTCAGAAACTGCTTTGTGATATTTGTGTTCCACTTCAAGAATTGAACTTTCCTCTTGACAGAGCAGCTCTGAAACCCTCTTATTCTAGAATCTGCAAGTGGACATTTGGAGGGTTTTGAGGCCTGTGGTGGAAAAGGAAAATCTTCACATAAAAACTAGATGGAAGCATTCTCAGAAACTACTTTGTGATGATTGCATTCGACTCACAGAGTTGAACATTCCTATAGATAGAGCAGGTTGTAAACAATCTTTTTGTAGAATCTGCGATTGGAGATTTGGACTGCTTTGAGGCCTACTGTAGTAAAGAAAATAACTTCATCTAAAAACCAAACGGAAGCATTCACAGACAATTCTTAGTGATCATTGCATTGATCTAACAGAGCTGAACATTCCTTTAGATGGCGTAGTTTCCAAACACACTTTCTGTAGAATCTGCAAGTGGATATTTGGACCTCTCTGAGGATTTCGTTGGAAAAGGGATAAACTTCCCAGAACTACACGGAAGAATTGTGAGAAACTTCTTTGTGATGTTTGCATTCAACTCACAGTGTTGAACCTTGCTTTCATAGTTCAGCTTTCAAACACTCTTTTTGTAGAATCTGCAAGTGGATATTTGGACCACATTTGGCCTTCCTTTCAAACGGGTATATCTTCACATCAAACCTAGACAGAAGCATTCTCAGAATGTTTCCTGTGATGACTGCATTCAACTCACAGAGGTGAACAATCCTGCTGATGGAGCAGTTTTGAAACTCTCTTTCTTTGGATTCTGCATGTGGATATGTGGACCTCTGTGAAGATTTCGTTGGAAACGGGTTCATCTTCACAGAAAAACTAAACAGGAGCATTCTCAGAAACTGCTTTGTGATGTTTGTGTTCCACTTCAGGAATTGAACTTTCCTCTTGACAGAGCAGCTCTGAAACCCTCTTTTTCTAGAATCTGCAAGTGGACATTTGGAGGGCTTTGAGGCCTGTGGTGGAAAAGGAAAATCTTCACATAAAAACTAGAAGAAGCATTCTCAGAAACTACTTTGTGATGTTTGCATTCGACTCACAGAGTTGAACATTCCTATAGATAGAGCAGGTTGAAAACAATCTTTTTGTAGAATCTGCGATTGGAGATTTGGACTGCTTTGAGGCCTATTGTAGTAAAGGAAATAACTTCATCTAAAAACCAAACGGAAGCATTCACAGAAAATTCTTAGTGATCATTGCATTGAACTAACAGAGCTGAACATTCCTTTAGATGGAGCAGTTTCCAAACACACTTTCTGTAGAATCTGCAAGTGGATATTTGGACTTCTCTGAGGATTTCGTTGGAAACGGGATAAACTTCCCAGAACTACACGGAAGCATTCTGAGAAACTTCTTTGTGATGTTTGCATTCAACTCACAGAGTTGAACCTTGCTTTCATAGTTCAGCTTTCAAACACTCTTTTTGTAGAATCTGCAAGTGGATATTTGGACCACTTTGCGGCCTTCCTTCGAAACGGGTATATCTTCACATCAAACCTAGACAGAAGCATTCTCAGAATGTTTCCTGTGATGACTGCATTCAACTCACAGAGGTGAACAATCCTGCTGATGGAGCAGTTTTGAAACTCTCTTTCTTTGGATTCTGCAAGTGGATATGTGGACCTCTGTGAAGATTTCGTTGGAAACGGGTTCATCTTCACAGAAAAACTAAACAGAAGCATTCTCAGAAACTGCTTTGTGATGTTTGTCTTCCACTTCAAGAATTGAACTTTCCTCTTGACAGAGCAGCTCTGAAACCCTCTTTTTCTAGAATCTGCAAGTGGACATTTGGAGGGCTTTGAGGCCTGTGGTGCAAAAGGAAAATCTTCCCATAAAAACTAGATGGAAGCATTCTCAGAAACTACTTTGTGATGATTGCATTCGACTCACAGAGTTGAACATTCCTATAGATAGAGCAGGTTGTAAACAATCTTTTTGTAGAATCTGCGATTGGAGATTTGGACTGCTTTGAGGCCTACTGTAGTAAAGGAAATAACTTCATCTAAAAACCAAACGGAAGCATTCACAGACAATTCTTAGTGATCATTGGATTGAACTAACATAGCTGAACATTCCCTTAGATGGCGCAGTTTCCAAACACACTTTCTGTAGAATCTGCAAGTGGATATTTGGACCTCTCTGAGGATTTCGTTGGAAACGGGATAAAATTCCCAGAACTACACAGAAGCATTGTGAGAAACTTCTTTGTGATGTTTGCATTCAACTCACAGAGTTGAACCTTGCTTTCATAGTTCAGCTTTCAAACACTCTTTTTGTAGAATCTGCAAGTGGATATTTGGACCACTTTGTGGCCTTCCTTCGAAACGGGTATATCTTCACATCAAACCTAGACAGAAGCATTCTCAGAATGTTTCCTGTGATGACTGCATTCAACTCACAGAGGTGAACAATCCTGCTGATGGAGCAGTTTTGAAACTCTCTTTCTTTGGATTCTGCAAGTGGATATGTGGACCTCTGTGAAGATTTCGTTGGAAACGGGTTCATCTTCACAGAAAAACTAAACAGAAGCATTCTCAGAAACTGCTTTGTGATGTTTGTGTTCCACTTCAAGAATTGAACTTTCCTCTTGACAGAGCAGCTCTGAAACCCTCTTTTTCTAGAATCTGCAAGTGGACATTTGGAGGGCTTTGAGGCCTGTGGTGGAAAAGGAAAATCTTCACATAAAAACTAGATGGAAGCATTCTCAGAAACTACTTTGTGATGATTGCATTCGACTCACAGAGTTCAACATTCCTATAGATAGAGCAGGTTGTAAACAATCTTTTTGTAGAATCTGCGATTGGAGATTTGGACTGCTTTGAGGCCTACTGTAGTAAAGGAAATAACTTCATCTAAAAACCAAACGGAAGCATTCACAGTACAATTCTTAGTGATCATTGCATTGAACTAACAGTAGCTGAACATTCCTTTAGATGGCGCAGTTTCCAAACACACTTTCTGTAAAATCTGCAAGTGGATATTTGGACCTCTCTGAGGATTTCGTTGGAAACGGGATAAACTTCCCAGAACTACACGGAAGCATTGTGAGAAACTTCTTTGTGATGTTTGCATTCAACTCACAGAGTTGAACCTTGCTTTCATAGTTCAGCTTTCAAACACTCTTTTTGTAGAATCTGCAAGTGGATATTTGGACCACTTTGTGGCCTTCCTTCGAAACGGGTATATCTTCACATCAAACCTAGACAGAAGCATTCTCAGAATGTTTCCTGTGATGACTGCATTCAACTCACAGAGGTGAACAATCCTGTTGATGGAGCAGTTTTGAAACTCTCTTTCTTTGGATTCTGCAAGTTGATATGTGGACCTCTGTGAAGATTTCGTTGGAAACGGGTTCATCTTCACAGAAAAACTAAACAGAAGCATTCTCAGAAACTGCTTTGTGATGTTTGTGTTCCACTTCAAGAATTGAACTTTCCTCTTGACAGAGCAGCTCTGAAACCCTCTTTTTCTAGAATCTGCAAGTGGACATTTGGAGGGCTTTGAGGCCTGTGGTGCAAAAGGAAAATCTTCACATAAAAACTAGATGGAAGCATTCTCAGAAACTACTTTGTGATGATTGCATTCGACTCACAGAGTTGAACATTCCTATAGATAGAGCAGGTTGTAAACAATCTTTTTGTAGAATCTGCGATTGGAGATTTGGACTGCTTTGAGGCCTACTGTAGTAAAGGAAATAACTTCATCTAAAAACCAAACGGAAGCATTCACAGACAATTCTTAGTGATCATTGGATTGAACTAACAGAGCTGAACATTCCTTTAGATGGAGCAGTTTCCAAACCCACTTTCTGTAGAATCTGCAAGTGGATATTTGGACTTCTCTGAGGATTTCGTTGGAAACGGGATAAATTCCCAGAACTACACGGAAGCATTCTGAGAAACTTCTTTGTGATGTTTGCATTGAACTCACAGAGTTGAACCTTGCTTTCATACTTCAGCTTTCAAACACTCTTTTTGTAGAATCTGCAAGTGGATATTTGGACCACTTTGTGGCCTTCCTTCGAAACGGGTATATCTTCACATCAAACCTAGACAGAAGCATTCTCAGAATGTTTCCTGTGATGACTGCATTCAACTCACAGAGGTGAACAATCCTGCTGATGGAGCAGTTTTGAAACTCTCTTTCTTTGGATTCTGCAAGTGGATATGTGGACCTCTGTGAAGATTTCGTTGGAAACGGGTTCATCTTCACAGAAAAACTAAACAGAAAAATTCTCAGAAACTGCTTTGTGATGTTTGTGTTCCACTTCAGGAATTGAACTTTCCTCTTCACAGAGCAGCTCTGAAACCCTCTTATTCTAGAATCTGCAAGTGGACATTTGGAGGGCTTTGAGGCCTGTGGTGGAAAAGGAAAATCTTCACATAAAAACTTTATGGAAGCATTCTCACAAACTCCTTTGTGATGATTGCATTCGACTCACAGAGTTGAACATTCGTATAGATAGAGTAGGTTGTAAACATTCTTTTTGTAGAATCTGTGATTGGAGATTTCGACTGCTTTGAGGCCTACTGTAGTAAAGGAAATAACTTCATCTAAAAACCAAACGGAAGCATTCACAGACAATTCTTAGTGATCATTGGATTGAACTAACAGAGCTGAACATTCCTTTAGATGGAGCAGTTTCCAAACACACTTTCTGTAGAATCTGCAAGTGGATATTTGGACTTCTCTGAGGATTTCGTTGGAAACGGGATAAACTTCCCAGAACTACACGGAAGCATTCTGAGAAACTTCTTTGTGATGTTTGCATTCAACTCACAGAGTTGAACCTTGCTTTCATAGTTCAGCTTTCAAACACTCTTTTTGTAGAATCTGCAAGTGGATATTTGGACCACTTTGTGGCCTTCCTTCGAAACGGGTATATCTTCACATCAAACCTAGACAGAAGCATTCTCAGAATGTTTCCTGTGATGACTGCATTCAACTCACAGAGGTGAACAATCCTGTTGATGGAGCAGTTTTGAAACTCTCTTTCTTTGGATTCTGCAAGTGGATATGTGGAACTCTGTGAAGATTTCGTTGGAAACGGGTTCATCTTCACAGAAAAACTAAACAGGAGCATTCCCAGAAACTGCTTTGTGATGTTTGTGTTCCACTTCAAGAATTGAACTTTCCTCTTGACAGAGCAGCTCTGAAACCCTCTTTTTCTAGAATCTGCAAGTGGACATTTGGAGGGCTTTGAGGCCTGTGGTGGAAAAGGAAAATCTTCACATAAAAACTAGATGGAAGCATTCTCAGAAACTACTTTGTGATGATTGCATTCGACTCACAGAGTTGAACATTCCTATAGATAGAGCAGGTTGTAAACAATCTTTTTGTAGAATCTGCGATTGGAGATTTGGACTGCTTTGAGGCCTACTGTAGTAAAGGAAATAACTTCATCTAAAAACCAAACGGAAGCATTCACAGACAATTCTTAGTGATCATTGCATTGAACTAACAGAGCTGAACATTGCTTTAGATGGCGCAGTTTCCAAACCCACTTTCTGTAGAATCTGCAAGTGGATATTTGGACCTCTCTGAGGATTTCGTTGGAAATGGGATAAACTTCCCAGAACTACACGGAAAGTATTCTGAGAACTTCTTTGTGATGTTTGCATTCAACTCACAGAGTTGAACCTTGCTTTCATAGTTCAGTTTTCAAACACTCTTTTTGTAGAATCTGCAAGTGGATATTTGGACCACTTTGTGGCCTTCCTTCGAAACGGGTATATCTTCACATCAAACCTAGACAGAAGCATTCTCAGAATGTTTCCTGTGATAACTGCATTCAACTCACAGAGGTGAACAATCCTCCTGATGGAGCAGTTTTGAAACTCTCTTTCTTTGGATTCTGCAGCTGGATATGTGGACCTCTGTGAAGATTTCGTTGGAAACGGGTTCATCTTCACAGAAAAACTAAACAGAAGCATTCTCAGAAACTGCTTTGTGATGTTTGTGTTCCACTTCAGGAATTGAACTTTCCTCTTGACAGAGCAGCTCTGAAACCCTCTTATTCTAGAATCTGCAAGTGGACATTTGGAGGGCTTTGAGGCCTGTGGTGGAAAAGGAAAATCTTCACATAAAAACTAGATGGAAGCATTCTCAGAAACTACTTTGTGATGATTGCATTCGACTCACAGAGTTGAACATTCCTATAGATAGATCAGGTTGTAAACAATCTTTTTGTAGAATCTGCGATTGGAGATTTGGACTGCTTTGAGGCCTACTGTAGTAAAGGAAATAACTTCATCTAAAAACCAAACGGAAGCATTCACAGACAATTCTTAGTGATTATTGGATTGAACTAACAGAGCTGAACATTCCTTTAGATGGCGCAGTTTCCAAACACACTTTCTGTAGAATCTGCAAGTGGATATTTGGACCTCTCTGAGGATTTCGTTGGAAACGGGATAAACTTCCCAGAACTACACGGAAGCATTGTGAGAAACTTCTTTGTGATGTTTGCATTCAACTCACAGAGTTGAACCTTGCTTTCATAGTTCAGCTTTCAAACACTCTTTTTGTAGAATCTGCAAGTGGATATTTGGACCACTTTGTGGCCTTCCTTCGAAACGGGTATATCTTCACATCAAACCTAGACAGAAGCATTCTCAGAATGTTTCCTGTGATGACTGCATTCAACTCACAGAGGTGAACAATCCTGCTGATGGAGCAGTTTTGAAACTCTCTTTCTTTGGATTCTGCAGGTGGATATGTGGACCTCTTTGAAGATTTCGTTGGAAACGGGTTCATCTTCACAGAAAAACTAAACAGGATCATTCTCACAAACTGCTTTGTGAAGTTTGTGTTCCACTTCAGGAATTGAACTTTCCTCTTGACAGAGCAGCTCTGAAACCCTCTTATTCTAGAATCTGCAAGTGGACATTTGGAGGGCTTTGAGGCCTGTGGTGGAAAAGGAAAATCTTCACATAAAAACTAGATGGAAGCATTCTCAGAAACTACTTTGTGATGATTGCATTCGACTCACAGAGTTGAACATTCCTATAGATAGAGCAGGTTGTAAACAATCTTTTTGTAGAATCTGCGATTGGAGATTTGGACTGCTTTGAGGCCTACTGTAGTAAAGGAAATAACTTCATCTAAAAACCAAACGGAAGCATTCACAGACAATTCTTAGTGATCATTGGATTGAACTAACAGAGCTGAACATTCCTGTAGATGGAACAGTTTCCAAACACACTTTCTGTAGAATCTGCAAGTGGATATTTGGACCTCTCTGAGGATTTCGTTGGAAACGGGATAAACTTCCCAGAACTACACGGAAGCATTCTGAGAAACTTCTTTGGATGTTTACATTCAACTCACAGAGTTGAACCTTGCTTTCATAGTTCAGCTTTCAAACACTCTTTTTGTAGAATCTGCAAGTGGATATTTGGACCACTTTGTGGCCTTCCTTCGAAACGGGTATATCTTCACATCAAACCTAGACAGAAGCATTCTCAGAATGTTTCCTGTGATGACTGCATTCAACTCACAGAGGTGAACAATCCTGCTGATGGAGCAGTTTTGAAACTCTCTTTCTTTGGATTCTGCAAGTGGATATGTGGACCTCTGTGAAGATTTCGTTGGAAACGGGTTCATCTTCACAGAAAAACTAAACAGGAACATTCTCAGAAACTGCTTTGTGATGTTTGTGTTCCACTTCAAGAATTGAACTTTCCTCTTGACAGAGCAGCTCTGAAACCCTCTTTTTCTAGAATCTGCAAGTGGACATTTGGAGGGCTTTGAGGCCTGTGGTGGAAAAGGAAAATCTTCACATAAAAACTAGATGGAAGCATTCTCAGAAACTACTTTGTGATGATTGCATTCGACTCACAGAGTTGAACATTCCTATAGATAGAGCAGGTTGTAAAAAATCTTTTTGTAGAATCTGCGATTGGAGATTTGGACTGCTTTGAGGCCTACTGTAGTAAAGGAAATAACTTCATCTAAAAACCAAACGGAAGCATTCACAGACAATTCTTAGTGATCATTGGATTGAACTAACAGAGCTGAACATTCCTTTAGATGGAGCAGTTTCCAAACACACTTTCTGTAGAATCCGCAAGTGGATATTTGGACCTCTGTGAGGATTTCGTTGGAAACGGGATAAATTTCCCATCACTACACGGAAGCATTCTGAGAAACTTCTTTGTGATGTTTGCATTCAACTCACAGAGTTGAACCTTGCTTTCATAGTTCAGCTTTCAAACACTCTTTTTGTAGAATCTGCAAGTGGATATTTGGACCACTTTCTGGCCTTCCTTCGAAACGGGTATATCTTCACATCAAACCTAGACAGAAGCATTCTCAGAATGTTTCCTGTGATGACTGCATTCAACTCACAGAGGTGAACAATCCTGTTGATGGAGCACTTTTGAAACTCTCTTTCTTTGGATTCTGCAAGTTGATATGTGGACCTCTGTGAAGATTTCGTTGGAAACGGGTTCATCTTCAGAGAAAAACTAAACAGAAGCATTCTCAGAAACTGCTTTGTGATTTTTGTGTTCCACTTCAGGAATTGAACTTTCCTCTTGACAGAGCAGCTCTGAAACCCTCTTATTCTAGAATCTGCAAGTGGACATTTGGAGGGCTTTGAGGCCAGTGGTGGAAAAGGAAAATCTTCACATAAAAACTAGATGGAAGCATTCTCAGAAACTACTTTGTGATGATTGCATTCGACTCACAGAGTTGAACATTCCTATAGATAGAGCAGGTTGTAAACAATCTTTTTGTAGAATCTGCGATTGGAGATTTGGACTGCTTTGAGGCCTACTGTAGTAAAGGAAATAACTTCATCTAAAAACCAAACGGAAGCATTCACAGACAATTCTTAGTGATCATTGGATTGAACTAACAGAGCTGAACATTCCTTTAGATGGAGCAGTTTCCAAACACACTTTCTGTAGAAACTGCAAGTGGATATTTGGACTCCTCTGAGGATTTCGTTGGAAACGGGATAAACTTCCCAGAACTACACCGAAGCATTCTGAGAAACTTCTTGTGATGTTTGCGTTCAACTCACAGTGTTGAACCTTGCGTTCATAGTTCAGCTTTCAAACACTCTTTTTGTAGAATCTGCAAGTGGATATTTGGACCACTTTGTGGCCTTGCTTCGAAACGGGTATATCTTCATATCAAACCTAGACAGAAGCATTCTCAGAATGTTTCCTGTGATGACTGCATTCAACTCACAGAGGTGAACAATCCTGCTGATGGAGCAGTTTTGAAACTCTCTTTCTTTGGATTCTGCAAGTGGATATGTGGACCTCTGTGAAGATTTCGTTGGAAAACGGGTTCATCTTCACAGAAAAACTAAACAGGAGCATTCCCAGAAACTGCTTTGTGATGTTTCTGTTCCACTTCAAGAATTGAACTTTCCTCTTGACAGAGCAGCTCTGAAACCCTCTTTTTCTAGAATCTGCAAGTGGACATTTGGAGGGCTTTGAGGCCTGTGGTGGAAAAGGAAAATCTTCACATAAAAACTAGATGGAAGCATTCTGAGAATCTACTTTATGATGATTGCATTCGACTCACAGAGTTGAAACTTCCAATGGATAGCGCAGTTTGTAAACACTCTTTTTGTAGAATGTGTGATTGCTGATTTGGACTGCATTGAGGCCTACGGTACTAAAGGAAATAACTTCATCTAACAACCAAACAGAAGCATTCACAAAAAATTCTTTGTGATGATTGGATTGAACTCAGAGAGCTAAACATTCCTTTAGATGGAGCAGTTGCCAAACACAATTTCTGTGGAATCTGCAAGTGGATATTTGGACCTCTCTGAGGATTTCGTTGGAAACGTGATAAACTTCCCAGAACTACACGGAAGCATTGTGAGAAACTTCTTTGGATGTTTGCATTCAACTCACAGTGTTGAACCTTGCTTTCATAGTTCAGCTTTCAAACACTCTTTTTGTAGAATCTACAAGTGGATATTTGGACCACTTTGTGGCCTTCCTTCCAAACGGGTATATCTTCACATCAAACCTAGACAGAAGGATTCTCAGAATGTTTCCTGTGATGACTGCATTCAACTCACAGAGGTGAACAATCCTTCTGATGGAGCAGTTTTGAAATTCTCTTTCTTTGGATTCTGCAAGTGGATATGTGGACCTCTGTGAAGATTTCGTTGGAAACGGGTTCATCTTCACAGAAAAACTAAACAGGAGCATTCTCAGAAACTGCTTTGTGATGTTTGTGTTCCACTTCAGGAATTGAACTTTCCTCTTGACAGAGCAGCTCTGAAACCCTCTTATTCTAGAATCTGCAAGTGGACATTTGGAGGGCTTTGAGGCCTGTGGTGGAAAAGGAAAATCTTCACATAAAAACTAGATGGAAGCATTCTCAGAAACTACTTTGTGATGATGGCTTTCGACTCACAGAGTTGAACATTCCTATAGATAGAGCAGGTTGTAAACAATCTTTTTGTAGAATCTGCGATTGGAGATTTGGACTGCTTTGAGGCCTACTGTAGTAAAGGAAATAACTTCATCTAAAAACCAAACGGAAGCATTCACAGACAATTCTTAGTGATCATTGGATTGAACTAACAGAGCTGAACATTCCTTTAGATGGAGCAGTTTCCAAACCCACTTTCTGTAGAATCTGCAAGTGGATATTTGGACCTCTCTGAGGATTTCGTTGGAAACGGGATAAACTTCCCAGAACTACACGGAAGCATTCTGAGAAACTTCTTTGTGATGTTTGCATTCAACTCACAGAGTTGAACCTTGCTTTCATAGTTCAGCTTTCAAACACTCTTTTTGTAGAATCTGCAAGTGGATATTTGGACCACTTTGTGGCCTTCCTTCGAAACGGGTATATCTTCACATCAAACCTAGACAGAAGCATTCTCAGAATGTTTCCTGTGATGACTGCATTCAACTCACAGAGGTGAACAATCCTGCTGATGGAGCAGTTTTGAAACTCTCTTTCTTTGGATTCTGCAAGTGGATATGTGGACCTCTGTGAAGATTTCGTTGGAAACGGGTTCATCTTCACAGAAAAACTAAACAGGAGCATTCTCAGAAACTGCTTTGTGATGTTTGTGTTCCACTTCAAGAATTGAACTTTCCTCTTGACAGAGCAGCTCTGAAACCCTCTTTTTCTAGAATCTGCAAGTGGACATTTGGAGGGCTTTGAGGCCTGTGGTGGAAAAGGAAAATCTTCCCATAAAAACTAGATGGAAGCATTCTCAGAAACTACTTTGTGATGATTGCATTCGACTCACAGAGTTGAACATTCCTATAGATAGAGCAGGTTGTAAACAATGTTTTTGTAGAATCTGCGATTGGAGATTTGGACTGCTTTGAGGCCTACTGTAGTAAAGGAAATAACTTCATCTAAAAACCAAACGGAAGCATTCACAGACAATTCTTAGTGATCATTGGATTGAACTAACAGAGCTGAACATTCCTTTAGATGGAGCAGTTTCCAAACACACTTTCTGTAGAATCTGCAAGTGGATATTTGGACCTCTCTGAGGATTTCGTTGGAAACGGGATAAACTTCCCAGAACTACACGGAAGCATTCTGAGAAACTTCTTTGTGATGTTTGCATTCAACTCACAGAGTTGAACCTTGCTTTCATAGTTCAGCTTTCAAACACTCTTTCTCTAGAATCTGCAAGTGGATATTTGGACCACTTTGTGGCCTTCCTTCGAAACGGGTATATCTTCACATCAAACCTAGACAGAAGCATTTTCAGAATATTTCCTGTGATGACTGCATTCAACTCACAGAGGTGAACAATCCTGCTGATGGTGCAGTTTTGAAACTCTCTTTCTTTGGATTCTGCAAGTGGATATGTGGACCTCTGTGAAGATTTCATTGGAAACGGGTTCATCTTCACAGAAAAACTAAACAGGAGCATTCTCAGAAACTGCTTTGTGATGTTTGTGTTCCACTTCAGGAATTGAACTTTCCTCTTGACAGAGCAGCTCTGAAACCCTCTTTTTCTAGAATCTGCAAGTGGACATTTGGAGGGCTTTGAGGCCTGTGGTGGAAAAGGAAAATCTTCACATAAAAACTAGATGGAAGCATTCTCAGAAACTACTTTGTGATGATTGCATTCGACTCACAGAGTTGAACATTCCTATAGATAGAGCAGGTTGAAAACAATCTTTTTGTAGAATCTGCCATTGGAGATTTGGACTGCTTTGAGGCCTACTGTAGTAAAGGAAATAACTTCATCTAAAAACCAAACGGAAGCATTCACAGACAATTCTTAGTGATCATTGCATTGAACTAACAGAGCTGAACATTCCTTTAGATGGCGCAGTTTCCAAACACACTTTCTGTAGAATCTGCAAGTGGATATTTGGACCTCTCTGAGGATTTCGTTGGAAACGGGATAAACTTCCCAGAACTACACGGAAGCATTCTGAGAAACTTCTTTGTGATGTTTGCATTCAACTCACAGAGTTGAACCTTGCTTTCATAGTTCAGCTTTCAAACACTCTTTTTGTAGAATCTGCAAGTGGATATTTGGACCACTTTGTGGCCTTCTTTCGAAACGTGTATATCTTCACATCAAACCTAGACAGAAGCATTCTCAGAATGTTTCCTGTGATGACTGCATTCAACTCACAGAGGTGAACAATCCTGCTGATGGAGCAGTTTTGAAACTCTCTTTCTTTGGATTCTGCAAGTGGATATGTGGACCTCTGTGAAGATTTCATTGGAAACGGGTTCATCTTCACAGAAAAAATAAACAGAAGCATTCTCAGAAACTGCTTTGTGATGTTTGTGTTCCACTTCAGGAATTGAACTTTCCTCTTGACAGAGCAGCTCTGAAACCCTCTTTTTCTAGAATCTGCAAGTGGACATTTGGAGGGCTTTGAGGCCTGTGGTGGAAAAGGAAAATCTTCACATAAAAACTAGATGGAAGCATTCTCAGAAACTACTTTGTGATGATTGCATTCGACTCACAGAGTTGAACATTCCTATAGATAGATCAGGTTGTAAACAATCTTTTTGTAGAATCTGCGATTGGAGATTTGGACTGCTTTGAGGCCTACTGTAGTAAAGGAAATAACTTCATCTAAAAACCAAACGGAAGCATTCACAGACAATTCTTAGTGATCATTGCATTGAACTAACAGAGCTGAACATTCCTTTAGATGGCGCAGTTTCCAAACACACTTTCTGTAGAATCTGCAAGTGGATATTTGGACCTCTCTGAGGATTTCGTTGGAAACGGGATAAACTTCCCAGAACTACACGGAAGCATTGTGAGAAACTTCTTTGTGATGTTTGCATTCAACTCACAGAGTTGAACCTTGCTTTCATAGTTCAGCTTTCAAACACTCTTTTTGTAGAATCTGCAAGTGGATATTTGGACCACTTTGTGGCCTTCCTTCGAAACGGGTATATCTTCACATCAAACCTAGACAGAAGCATTCTCAGAATGTTTCCTGTGATGACTGCATTCAACTCACAGAGGTGAACCATCCTGCTGATGGAGCAGTTTTGAAACTCTCTTTCTTTGGATTCTGCAAGTGGATATGTGGACCTCTGTGAAGATTTCGTTGGAAACGGGTTCATCTTCACAGAAAAACTAAACAGAAGCATTCTCAGAAACTGCTTTGTGATGTTTGTGTTCCACTTCAGGAATTGAACTTTCCTCTTGACAGAGCAGCTCTGAAACCCTCTTATTCTAGAATCTGCAAGTGGACATTTGGAGGGCTTTGAGGCCTGTGGTGGAAAAGGAAAATCTTCACATAAAAACTAGATGGAAGCATTCTCAGAAACTACTTTGTGATGATTGCATTCGACTCACAGAGTTGAACATTCCTATAGATAGAGCAGGTTGTAAACAATCTTTTTGTAGAATCTGCGATTGGAGATTTGGACTGCTTTGAGGCCTACTGTAGTAAAGGAAATAACTTCATCTAAAAACCAAACGGAAGCATTCACAGACAATTCTTAGTGATCATTGCATTGAACTAACAGAGCTGAACATTGCTTTAGACGGCGCAGTTTCCAAACACACTTTCTGTAGAATCTGCAAGTGGATATTTGGACTTCTCTGAGGATTTCGTTGGAAACGGGATAAACTTCCCAGAACTACACGGAAGCATTGTGAGAAACTTCTTTGTGATGTTTGCATTCAACTCACAGAGTTGAACCTTGCTTTCATAGTTCAGCTTTCAAACACTCTTTTTGTAGAATCTGCAAGTGGATATTTGGACCACTTTGTGGCCTTCCTTCGAAACGGGTATATCTTCACATCAAACCTAGACAGAAGCATTCTCAGAATGTTTCCTTTGATGACTGCATTCAACTCACAGAGGTGAACAATCCTGCTGATGGAGCAGTGTTGAAACTCTCTTTCTTTGGATTCTGCAAGTGGATATGTGGACCTCTGTGAAGATTTCGTTGGAAACGGGTTCATCTTCACAGAAAAACTAAACAGGAGCATTCTCAGAAACTGCTTTGTGATGTTTGTGTTCCACTTCAGGAATTGAACTTTCCTCTTCACAGAGCAGCTCTGAAACCCTCTTTTTCTAGAATCTGCAAGTGGACATTTGGAGGGCTTTTAGGCCTGTGGTGGAAAAGGAAACTCTTCACATAAAAACTAGATGGAAGCATTCTGAGAACCTACTTTGTGATGATTGCATTCGACTCACAGAGTTGAACCTTCCAATAGATAGAGCAGTTTGTAAACACTCCTTTTGCAGAATCTGTGATTGCTGATTTGGACTGCATTGAGGCCTACGGTACTAAAGGAAATAACTTCATCTAAAAACCAAACGGAAGCATTCACAGAAAATTCTTTGTGATGATTGGATTGAACTCAGAGAGCTGAACATTCCTTTAGATGCAGCAGTTTCCAAACACACTTTCTGTAGAATCTGCAAGTGGATATTTGGACCTCTCTGAGGATTTCGTTGGAAATGGGATAAATTTCCCAGAACTACACGAAAGCATTCTGAGAAACTTCTTTGTGATGTTTGCATTCAACTCACAGCAATTGAACCTTGCTTTCATAGTTCAGCTTTCAAACACTCTTTTTGTAGAATCTGCAAGTGGATATTTGGACCACTTTGTGGCCTTCCTTCGAAACGGGTATATCTTCACATCAAACCTAGACAGAAGCATTCTCAGAATGTTTCCTGTGATGACTGCATTCAACTCACAGAGGTGAACAATCCTGCTGATGGAGCAGTTTTGAAACTCTCTTTCTTTGGATTCTGCAAGTGGATATGTGGACCTCTGTGAAGATTTCGTTGGAAACGGGTTCATCTTCACAGAAAAACTAAACAGAAGCATTCTCAGAAACTGCTTTGTGATGTTTGTGTTCCACTTCAAGAATTGAACTTTCCTCTTGACAGAGCAGCTCTGAAACCCTCTTTTTCTAGAATCTGCAAGTGGACATTTGGAGGGCTTTGAGGCCTGTGGTGGAAAAGGAAAATCTTCACATAAAAACTAGATGGAAGCATTCTCAGAAACTACTTTGTGATGATTGCATTCGACTCACAGAGTTGAACATTCCTATACATAGAGCAGGTTGTAAACAATCTTTTTGTAGAATCTGCGATTGGAGATTTGGACTGCTTTGAGGCCTACTGTAGTAAAGGAAATAACTTCATCTAAAAACCAAACGGAAGCATTCACAGACAATTCTTAGTGATCATTGCATTGAACTAACAGAGCTGAACATTCCTTTAGATGGAGCAGTTTCCAAACACACTTTCTGTAGAATCTGCAAGTGGATATTTGGACTTCTCTGAGGATTTCGTTGGAAACGGGATAAACTTCCCAGAACTACACGGAAGCATTCTGAGAAACTTCTTTGTGATGTTTGCATTCAACTCACAGAGTTGAACCTTGCTTTCATAGTTCTGCTTTCAAACACTGTTTTTGTAGAATCTGCAAGTGGATATTTGGACCACTTTGTGGCCTTCCTTCGAAACGGGTATATCTTCACATCAAACCTAGACAGAAGCATTCTCAGAATGTTTCCTGTGATGACTGCATTCAACTCACAGAGGTGAACAATCCTGTTGATGGAGCACTTTTGAAACTCTCTTTCTTTGGATTCTGCAAGTTGATATGTGGACCTCTGTGAAGATTTCGTTGGAAACGGGTTCATCTTCACAGAAAAACTAAACAGAAGCATTCTCAGAAACTGCTTTGTGATGTTTGTGTTCCACTTCAGGAATTGAACTTTCCTCTTGACAGAGCAGCTCTGAAACCCTCTTATTCTAGAATCTGCAAGTGGACATTTGGAGGGCTTTGAGGCCTCTGGTGGAAAAGGAAAATCTTCACATAAAAACTAGATGGAAGCATTCTCAGAAACTACTTTGTGATGATGGCTTTCGACTCACAGAGTTGAACATTCCTATAGATAGAGCAGGTTGTAAACAATCTTTTTGTAGAATCTGCGATTGGAGATTTGGACTGCTTTGAGGCCTACTGTAGTAAAGGAAATAACTTCATCTAAAAACCAAACGGAAGCATTCACAGACAATTCTTAGTGATCATTGGATTGAACTAACAGAGCTGAACATTCCTTTAGATGGAGCAGTTTCCAAACCCACTTTCTGTAGAATCTGCAAGTGGATATTTGGACCTCTCTGAGGATTTCGTTGGAAACGGGATAAACTTCCCAGAACTACACGGAAGCATTCTGAGAAACTTCTTTGTGATGTTTGCATTCTACTCACAGAGTTGAACCTTGCTTTCATAGTTCAGCTTTCAAACACTCTTTTTGTAGAATCTGCAAGTGGATACTTGGACCACTTTGTGGCCTTCCTTCGAAACGGGTATATCTTCACATCAAACCTAGACAGAAGCATTCTCAGAATGTTTCCTGTGATGACTGCATTCAACTCACAGAGGTGAACAATCCTGCTGATGGAGCAGTTTTGAAACTCTCTTTCTTTGGATTCTGCAAGTGGATATGTGGACCTCTGTGAAGATTTCGTTGGAAACGGTTTCATGTTCACAGAAAAACTAAACAGAAACATTCTCAGAAACTGCTTTGTGATGTTTGTGTTCCACTTCAAGAATTGAACTTTCCTCTCGACAGAGCAGCTCTGAAACCCTCTTTTTCTAGAATCTGCAAGTGGACATTTGGAGGGCTTTGAGGCCTGTGGTGGAAAAGGAAAATCTTCCCATAAAAACTAGATGGAAGCATTCTCAGAAACTACTTTGTGATGATTGCATTCGACTCACAGAGTTGAACATTCCTATAGATAGAGCAGGTTGTAAACAATCTTTTTGTAGAATCTGCGATTGGAGATTTGGACTGCTTTGAGGCCTACTGTGGTAAAGGAAATAACTTCATCTAAAAACCAAACGGAAGCATTCACAGACAATTCTTAGTGATCATTGGATTGAACTAACAGAGCTGAACATTCCTTTCGATGGCGCAGTTTCCAAACACACTTTCTGTAGAATCTGCAAGTGGATATTTGGACTTCTCTGACGATTTCGTTGGAAACGGGATAAACTTCCCAGAACTACACGGAAGCATTCTGAGAAACTTCTTTGTGATGTTTGCATTCAACTCACAGAGTTGAACCTTGCTTTCTTAGTTCAGCTTTCAAACACTCTTTTTGTAGAATCTGCAAGTGGATATTTGGACCACTTTGTGGCCTTCCTTCGAAACGGGTATATCTTCACATCAAACCTAGACAGAAGCATTCTCAGAATGTTTCCTGTGATGACTGCATTCAACTCACAGAGGTGAACAATCCTGTTGATGGAGCAGTTTTGAAACTCTCTTTCTTTGGAATCTGCAAATGGATGTGTGGACCTGTTTGAAGATTTCATTGGAAACGGGTTCATCTTCACATAAAAACTAAACAGGAGCATTCTCAGAAACTGCTTTGTGATGTTTGTGTTCCACTTCAAGAATTGAACTTTCCTCTTGACAGAGCAGCTCTGAAACCCTCTTTTTCTAGAATCTGCAAGTGGACATTTGGAGGGCTTTGGGGCCTGTGGTGGAAAAGGAAAATCTTCACATAAAAACTAGATGGAAGCATTCTCAGAAACTACTTTGTGATGATTGCATTCGACTCACAGAGTTGAACATTCCTATAGATTGAGCAGGTTGTAAACAATCTTTTTGTAGAATCTGCGATTGGAGATTTGGACTGCTTTGAGGCCTACTGTACTAAAGGAAATAACTTCATCTAAAAACCAAACGGAAGCATTCACAGACAATTCTTAGTGATCATTGGATTGAACTAACAGAGCTGAACATTCCTTTAGATGGAGCAGTTTCCAAACACACTTTCTGTAGAATCTGCAAGTGGATATTTGGACCTCTCTGAGGATTTCGTTGGAAACGGGATAAACTTCCCAGAACTACACGGAAGTATTCTGAGAAACTTCTTTGTGATGTTTGCATTCAACTCACAGAGTTGAACCTTGCTTTCATAGTTCAGCTTTCAAAAACTCTTTTTGTAGAATCTGCAAGTGGATATTTGGACCACTTTGTGGCCTTCCTTCCAAACGGGTATATCTTCACATCAAACCTAGACAGAAGCATTCTCAGAATGTTTCCTGTGATGACTGCATTCAACTCACAGAGGTAAACAATCCTGCTGATGGAGCAGTTTTGAAACTCTCTTTCTTTGGATTCTGCAAGTGGATATGTGGACCTCTGTGAAGATTTCGTTGGAAACGGGTTCATCTTCACAGAAAAAATAACCAGGAGCATTCTCAGAAACTGCTTTGTGATGTTTGTGTTCCACATCAGGAACTGAACTTTCCTCTTGATAGAGCAGCTCTGAAACCCTCTTTTTCTAGAATCTGCAAGTGGACATTTGGAGGGCTTTGAGGCCTGTGGTGGAAAAGGAAAATCTTCACATAAAAACTAGATGGAAGCATTCTCAGAAACTACTTTGTGATGATTGCATTCGACTCACAGAGTTGAACATTCCTATAGATAGAGCAGGTTGAAAACAATCTTTTTGTAGAATCTGCGATTGGAGATTTGGACTGCTTTGAGGCCTACTGTAGTAAAGGAAATAACTTCATCTAAAAACCAAACGGAAGCATTCACAGACAATTCTTAGTGATCATTGCATTGAACTAACAGAGCTGAACATTCCTTTAGATGGCGCAGTTTCCAGACACACTTTCTGTAGAATCTGCAAGTGGATATTTGGACTTCTCTGAGGATTTCGTTGGAAACGGGATAAACTTCCCAGAACTACACGGAAGCATTCTGAGAAACTTCTTTGTGATGTTTGCATTCAACTCACAGAGTTGAACCTTGCTTTCATAGTTCAGCTTTCAAACACTCTTTTTGTAGAATCTGCAAGTGGATATTTGGACCACTTTGTGGCCTTCCTTCGAAACGGGTATATCTTCACATCAAACCTAGACAGAAGCATTCTCAGAATGTTTCCTGTGATGACTGCATTCAACTCACAGAGGTGAACAATCCTGCTGATGGAGCAGTTTTGAAACTCTCTTTCTTTGGATTCTGCAAGTGGATATGTGGACCTCTGTGAAGATTTCGTTGGAAACGGGTTCATCTTCACAGAAAAACTAAACAGAAGCATTCTCAGAAACTGCTTTGTGATGTTTGTGTTCCACTTCAGGAATTGAACTTTCCTCTTGACAGAGCAGCTCTGAAACCCTCTTATTCTAGAATCTGCAAGTGGACATTTGGAGGGCTTTGAGGCCTGTGGTGGAAAAGGAAAATCTTCACATAAAAACTAGATGGAAGCATTCTCAGAAACTACTTTGTGATGATTGCATTCGACTCACAGAGTTGAACATTCCTATAGATAGAGCAGGTTGTAAACAATCTTTTTGTAGAATCTGCGATTGGAGATTTGGACTGCTTTGAGGCCTACTGTAGTAAAGGAAATAACTTCATCTAAAAACCAAACGGAAGCATTCACAGACAATTCTTAGTGATCATTGCATTGAACTAACAGAGCTGAACATTCCTTTAGATGGAGCAGTTTCCAAACCCACTTTCTGTAGAATCTGCAAGTGGATATTTGGACTTCTCTGAGGATTTCGTTGGAAACGGGATATGCTTCCCAGAACTACAGGGAAGTATTCTGAGAAACTTCTTTGTGATGTTTGCATTCAACTCACAGAGTTGAACCTTGCTTTCATAGTTCAGCTTTCAAACACTCTTTTTGTAGAATCTGCAAGTGGATATTTGGACCACTTTGTGGCCTTCCTTCGAAACGGGTATATCTTCACATCAAACCTAGACAGAAGCATTCTCAGAATGTTTCCTGTGATGACTGCATTCAACTCACAGAGGTGAACAATTCTGCTGATGGAGCAGTTTTGAAACTCTCTTTCTTTGGATTCTGCAAGTGGATATGTGGACCTCTGTGAAGATTTCGTTGGAAACGGGTTCATCTTCACAGAAAAACTAAACAGAAGCATTCCCAGAAACTGCTTTGTGATGTTTCTGTTCCACTTCAAGAATTGAACTTTCCTCTTGACAGAGCAGCTCTGAAACCCTCTTTTTCTAGAATCTGCAAGTGGACATTTGGAGGGCTTTGAGGCCTGTGGTGGAAAAGGAAAATCTTCACATAAAAACTAGATGGAAGCATTCTCAGAAACTACTTTGTGATGATTGCATTCGACTCACAGAGTTGAACATTCCTATAGATAGAGCAGGTTGTAAACAATCTTTTTGTAGAATCTGCGATTGGAGATTTGGACTGCTTTGAGGCCTACTGTAGTAAAGGAAATAACTTCATCTAAAAACCAAACGGAAGCATTCACAGACAATTCTTAGTGATCATTGGATTGAACTAACAGAGCTGAACATTCCTTTAGATGGAGCAGTTTCCAAACACACTTTCTGTAGAATCTGCAAGTGGATATTTGGACTTCTCTGAGGATTTCGTTGGAAACCGGATAAACTTCCCAGAACTACACGGAAGCATTCTGAGAAACTTCTTTGTGATGTTTGCATTCAACTCACAGAGTTGAACCTTGCTTTCATAGTTCAGCTTTCAAACACTCTTTTTGTAGAATCTGCAAGTGGATATTTGGACCACTTTGTGGCCTTCCTTCGAAACGGGTATATCTTCACATCAAACCTAGACAGAAGCATTCTCAGAATGTTTCCTGTGATGACTGCATTCAACTCACAGAGGTGAACAATCCTGCTGATGGAGCAGTTTTGAAACTCTCTTTCTTTGGATTCTGCAAGTGGATATGTGGACCTCTGTGAAGATTTCGTTGGAAACGGGTTCATCTTCACAGAAAAACTAAACAGAAGCATTCTCAGAAACTGCTTTGTGATGTTTGTGTTCCACTTCAAGAATTGAACTTTCCTCTTGACAGAGCAGCTCTGAAACCCTCTTTTTCTAGAATCTGCAAGTGGACATTTGGAGGGCTTTGAGGCCTGTGGTGGAAAAGGAAAATCTTCCCATAAAAACTAGATGGAAGCATTCTCAGAAACTCCTTTGTGATGATTGCATTCGACTCACAGAGTTGAACATTCCTATAGATAGAGCAGGTTGTAAACAATCTTTTTGTAGAATCTGCGATTGGAGATTTGGACTGCTTTGAGGCCTACTGTAGTAAAGGAAATAACTTCATCTAAAAAACAAACGGAAGCATTCACAGACAATTCTTAGTGATCATTGGATTGAACTAACAGAGCTGAACATTCCTTTAGATGGAGCAGTTTCCAAACACACTTTCTGTAGAATCTGCAAGTGGATATTTGGACCTCTCTGAGGATTTCGTTGGAAACGGGATAAACTTCCCAGAACTACACGGAAGCATGCTGAGAAACTTCTTTGTGATGTTTGCATTCAACTCACAGAGTTGAACCTTGCTTTCATAGTTCAGCTTTCAAACACTCTTTTTGTAGAATCTGCAAGTGGATATTTGGACCACTTTGTGGCCTTCCTTCGAAACGGGTATATCTTCACATCAAACCTAGACAGAAGCATTCTCAGAATGTTTCCTGTGATGACTGCATTCAACTCACAGAGGTGAACAATCCTGCTGATGGAGCAGTTTTGAAACTCTCTTTCTTTGGATTCTGCAAGTGGATATGTGGACCTCTGTGAAGATTTCGTTGGAAACGGGTTCATCTTCACAGAAAAACTAAACAGGAGCATTCTCAGAAACTGCTTTGTGATGTTTGTGTTCCACTTCAGGAATTGAACATTCCTCTTGACAGAGCAGCTCTGAAACCCTCTTTTTCTAGAATCTGCAAGTGGACATTTGGAGGGCTTTGAGGCCTGTGGTGGAAAAGGAAAATCTTCACATAAAAACTAGATGGAAGCATTCTCAGAAACTACTTTGTGATGATTGCATTCGACTCACAGAGTTGAACATTCCTATAGATAGAGCAGGTTGTAAACAATCTTTTTGTAGAATCTGCGATTGGAGATTTGGACTGCTTTGAAGCCTACTGTAGTAAAGGAAATAACTTCATCTAAAAACCAAACGGAAGCATTCACAGACAATTCTTAGTGATCATTGCATTGAACTAACAGAGCTGAACATTCCTTTAGATGGCGCAGTTTCCAAACACACTTTCTGTAGAATCTGCAAGTGGATATTTGGACCTCTCTGAGGATTTCGTTGGAAACGGGATAAACTTCCCAGAACTACACGGAAGCATTGTGAGAAACTTCTTTGTGATGTTTGCATTCAACTCACAGAGTTGAACCTTGCTTTCATAGTTCAGCTTTCAAACACTCTTTTTGTAGAATCTGCAAGTGGATATTTGGACCACTTTGTGGCCTTCCTTCGAAACGGGTATATCTTCACATCAAACCTAGACAGAAGCATTCTCAGAATGTTTCCTGTGATGACTGCATTCAACTCACAGAGGTGAACAATCCTGTTGATGGAGCAGTTTTGAAACTCTCTTTCTTTGGATTCTGCAAGTTGATATGTGGACCTCTGTGAAGATTTCGTTGGAAACGGGTTCATCTTCACAGAAAAACTAAACAGAAGCATTCTCAGAAACTGCTTTGTGATGTTTGTGTTCCACTTCAGGAATTGAACTTTCCTCTTAACAGAGCAGCTCTGAAATCCTCTTATTCTAGAATCTGCAAGTGGACATTTGGAGGGCTTTGAGGCCTGTGGTGGAAAAGGAAAATCTTCACATAAAAACTAGATGGAAGCATTCTCAGAAACTACTTTGTGATGATTGCATTCGACTCACAGAGTTGAACATTCCTATAGATAGAGCAGGTTGTAAACATTCTTTTTGTAGAATCTGCGATTGGAGATTTGGACTGCTTTGAGTCCTACTGTAGTAAAGGAAATAACTTCATCTAAAAACCAAACGGAAGCATTCACAGACAATTCTTAGTGATCATTGCATTGAACTAACAGAGCTGAACATTCCTTTAGATGGAGCAGTTGCCAAACCCACTTTCTGTAGAATCTGCAAGTGGATATTTGGACTTCTCTGAGGATTTCGTTGGAAACGGGATAAACTTCCCAGAACTACACGGAAGCATTCTGAGAAACTTCTTTGTGATGTTTGCATTCAACTCACAGAGTTGAACCTTGCTTTCATAGTTCAGCTTTCAAACACTCTTTTTGTAGGATCTGCAAGTGGATATTTGACAACTTTGTGGCCTTCCTTCGAAACGGGTATATCTTCACATCAAACCTAGACAGAAGCATTCTCAGAATGTTTCCTGTGATGACTGCATTCAACTCACAGAGGTGAACAATCCTGTTGATGGAGCAGTTTTGAAACTCTCTTTCTTTGGATTCTGCAAGTGGATATGTGGACCTCTTTGAGGATTTCGTTGGAAACGGGTTCATCTTCACAGAAAAACTAAACAGAAGCATTCTCAGAAACTGTTTTGTGATGTTTGTGTTCCACTTCAGGAATTGAACTTTCCTCTTGACAGAGCAGCTCTGAAACCCTCTTATTCTACAATCTTCAAGTGGACATTTGGAGGGCTTTGAGGCCTCTGGTGGAAAAGGAAAATCTTCACATAAAAACTAGATGGAAGCATTCTCAGAAACTACTTTGTGATGATTGCATTCGACTCACAGAGTTGAACATTCCTATAGATAGAGCAGGTTGTAAACAATCTTTTTGTAGAATCTGCGATTGGAGATTTGGACTGCTTTGAGGCCTACTGTAGTAAAGGAAATAACTTCATCTAAAAACCAAACGGAAGCATTCACAGACAATTCTTAGTGATCATTGGATTGAACTAACAGAGCTGAACATTCCTTTAGATGGAGCAGTTTCCAAACCCACTTTCTGTAGAATCTGCAAGTGGATATTTGGACTTCTCTGAGGATTTCGTTGGAAACGGGATAAACTTCCCAGAACTACACGGAAGCATTCTGAGAAACTTCTTTGTGATGTTTGCATTCAACTCACAGAGTTGAACCTTGCTTTCATAGTTCAGCTTTCAAATACTCTTTTTGTAGAATCTGCAAGTGGATATTTGGACCACTTTGTGGCCTTCCTTCGAAACGGGTATATCTTCACATCAAACCTAGACAGAAGCATTCTCAGAATGTTTCCTGTGATGACTGCATTCAACTCACAGAGATGGACAATCCTGCTGATGGAGCAGTTTTGAAACTCTCTTTCTTTGGATTCTGCAAGTGGATATGTGGACCTCTGTGAAGATTTCCGCGGAAACGGGTTCATCTTCACAGAAAAACTAAACAGGAGCATTCTCAGAAACTGCTTTGTTATGTTTGTGTTGCACTTCAAGAATTGAACTTTCCTCTTGACAGAGCAGCTCTGAAACCCTCTTATTCTAGAATCTGCAAGTGGACATTTGGAGGGCTTTGAGGCCTGTGGTGGAAAAGGAAAATCTTCACGTAAAAACTAGATGGAAGCATTCTCAGAAGCTACTTTGTGATGATTGCATTCGACTCACAGAGTTGAATATTCCTATAGATAGAGCAGGTTGTAAACAATCTTTTTGTAGAATCTGCGATTGGAGATTTGGACTGCTTTGAGGCCTACTGTAGTAAAGGAAATAACTTCATCTAAAAACCAAACGGAAGCATTCACAGACAATTCTTAGTGATCATTGCATTGAAGTAACAGAGCTGAACATTCCTTTAGATGGCGCAGTTTCCAAACACACTTTCTGTAGAATCTGCAAGTGGATACTTGGACCTCTCTGAGGATTTCGTTGGAAACGGGATAAACTTCCCAGAACTACACGGAAGCATTCTGAGAAACTTCTTTGTGATGTTTGCATTCAACTCACAGAGTTGAACCTTGCTTTCATAGTTCAGCTTTCAAACCCTCTTTTTGTAGAATCTGCAAGTGGATATTTGGACCACTTTGTGGCCTTCCTTCGAAACGGGTATATCTTCACATCAAACCTAGACAGAAGCATTCTCAGAATGTTTCCTGTGATGACTGCATTCAACTCACAGAGGTGAACAATCCTGTTGATGGAGCACTTTTGAAACTCTCTTTCCTTGGATTCTGCAAGTTGATATGTGGACCTCTGTGAAGATTTCGTTGGAAACGGGTTCATCTTCACAGAAAAACTAAACAGAAGCATTCTCAGAAACTGCTTTGTGATGTTTGTGTTCCACTTGAAGAATTGAACTTTCCTCTTGACAGAGCAGCTCTGAAACCCTCTTTTTCTAGAATCTGCAAGTGGACATTTGGAGGGCTTTGAGGCCTGTGGTGGAAAAGGAAAATCTTCACATAAGAACTAGAAGGAAGCATTCTCAGAAACTACTTTGTGATGATTGCATTCGACTCACAGAGTTGAACATTCCTATAGATAGAGCAGGTTGTAAACAATGTTTTTGTAGAATCTGCGATTGGAGATTTGGACTGCTTTGAGGCCTACTGTAGTAAAGGAAATAACTTCATCTAAAAACCAAACGGAAGCATTCACAGACAATTCTTAGTGATCATTGGATTGAACTAACAGAGCTGAACATTCCTTTAGATGGAGCAGTTTCCAAACCCACTTTCTGTAGAATCTGCAAGTGGATATTTGGACTTCTCTGAGGATTTCGTTGGAAACGGGATAAACTTCCCAGAACTACACGGAAGCATTGTGAGAAACTTCTTTGTGATGTTTGCATTCAACTCACAGAGTTGAACCTTGCTTTCATAGTTCAGCTTTCAAACACTCTTTTTGTAGAATCTGCAAGTGGATATTTGGACACTTTGTGGCCTTCCTTCGAAACGGGTATATCTTCACATCAAACCTAGACAGAAGCATTCTCAGAATGTTTCCTGTGATGACTGCATTCAACTCACAGAGGTGAACAATCCTGCTGATGGAGCAGTTTTGAAACTCTCTTTCTTTGGATTCTGCAAGTGGATATGTGGACCTCTGTGAAGATTTCGTTGGAAACGGGTTCATCTTCACAGAAAAACTAAACAGAAGCATTCTCAGAAACTGCTTTGTGATGTTTGTGTTCCACTTCAGGAATTGAACTTTCCTCTTAACAGAGCAGCTCTGAAACCCTCTTATTCTAGAATCTGCAAGTGGACATTTGGAGGGCTTTGAGGCCTGTGGTGGAAAAGGAAAATCTTCACATAAAAACTAGATGGAAGCATTCTCAGAAACTACTTTGTGATGATTGCATTCGACTCACAGAGTTGAACATTCCTATAGATAGAGCAGGTTGTAAACAATCTTTTTGTAGAATCTGTGATTGGAGATTTGGACTGCTTTGAGGCCTACTGTAGTAAAGGAAATAACTTCATCTAAAAACCAAACGGAAGCATTCACAGACAATTCTTAGTGATCATTGGATTGAACTAACAGAGCTGAACATTCCTTTAGATGGAGCAGTTTCCAAACACACTTTCTGTAGAATCTGCAAGTGGATATTTGGACTTCTCTGAGGATTTCGTTGGAAACGGGATAAACTTCCCAGAACTACACGGAAGCATTGTGAGAAACTTCTTTGTGATGTTTGCATTCAACTCACAGAGTTGAACCTTGCTTTCATAGTTCAGCTTTCAAACACTCTTTTTGTAGAATCTGCAAGTGGATATTTGGACCACTTTGTGGCCTTCCTTCGAAACGGGTATATCTTCACATCAAACCTAGACAGAAGCATTCTCAGAATGTTTCCTGTGATGACTGCATTCAACTCACAGAGGTGAACAATCCTGCTGATGGAGCAGTTTTGAAACTCTCTTTCTTTGGATTCTGCAAGTGGATATGTGGACCTCTGTGAAGATTTCGTTGGAAACGGGTTCATCTTCACAGAAAAACTAAACAGAAGCATTCTCAGAAACTGCTTTGTGATGTTTTTGTTCCACTTCAGGAATTGAACTTTCCTCTTGACAGAGCAGCTCTGAAACCCTCTTATTCTAGAATCTGCAAGTGGACATTTGGAGGGCTTTGAGGCCTGTGGTGGAAAAGGAAAATCTTCACATAAAAAACTAGATGGAAGCATTCTCAGAAACTACTATGTGATGATTGCATTCGACTCACAGAGTTGAACATTCCTATAGATAGAGCAGGTTGTAAACAATCTTTTTGTAGAATCTGCGATTGGAGATTTGGACTGCTTTGAGGCCTACTGTAGTAAAGGAAATAACTTCATCTAAAAACCAAACGGAAGCATTCACAGACAATTCTTAGTGATCATTGGATTGTACTAACAGAGCTGAACATTCCTTTAGATGGAGCAGTTTCCAAACACACTTTCTGTAGAATCTGCAAGTGGATATTTGGACCTCTCTGAGGATTTCGTTGGAAACGGGCTAAATTTCCCAGAACTACACGGAAGCATTCTGAGAATCTTCTTTGTGATGTTTGCATTCAACTCACAGTAGTTGAACCTTGCTTTCATAGTTCAGCTTTCAAACACTCTTTTTGTAGAATCTGCAAGTGGATATTTGGACCACTTTGTGGCCTTCCTTCGAAAGGGGTATATCTTCACATCAAACCTAGACAGAAGCATTCTCAGAATGTTTCCTGTGATGACTGCATTCAACTCACAGAGGTGAACAATCCTGTTGATGGAGCAGTTTTGAAACTCTCTTTCTTTGGATTCTGCAAGTGGATATGTGGACCTCTGTGAAGATTTCGTTGGAAACGGGTTCATCTTCACAGAAAAACTAAACAGAAGCATTCTCAGAAACTGCTTTGTGATGTTTGTGTTCCACTTCAGGAATTGAACTTTCCTCTTGACAGAGCAGCTCTGAAACCCTCTTATTCTAGAATCTGCAAGTGGACATTTGGAGGGCTTTGAGGCCTGTGGTGGAAAAGGAAAATCTTCACATAAAAACTAGATGGAAGCATTCTCAGAAAGTACTTTTTGATGATTGCATTCGACCCACAGAGTTGAACATTCCTATAGATAGAGCAGGTTGTAAACAATCTTTTTGTAGAATCTGCGATTGGAGATTTGGACTGCTTTGAGGCCTACTGTAGTAAAAGAAATAACTTCATCTAAAAACCAAACGGAAGCATTCACAGACAATTCTTAGTGATCATTGGATTGAACTAACAGAGCTGAAGATTCCCTTAGATGGCGCAGTTTCCAAACACACTTTCTGTAGAATCTGCAAGTGGATATTTGGACCTCTCTGAGGATTTCGTTGGAAACGGGATAAACTTCCCAGAACTACACGGAAGCATTCTGAGAAACTTCTTTGTGATGTTTGCATTCAACTCACAGAGTTGAACCTTGCTTTCATAGTTCAGCTTTGAAACACTCTTTTTGTAGAATCTGCAAGTGGATATTTGGACCACTTTGTGGCCTTCCTTCGAAACGGGTATATCTTCACATCAAACCTAGACAGAAGCATTCTCAGAATGTTTCCTGTGATGACTGCATTCAACTCACAGAGGTGAACAATCCTGCTGATGGAGAAGTTTTGAAACTCTCTTTCTTTGGATTCTGCAAGTGGATATGTGGACCTCTGTGAAGATTTCGTTGGAAACGGGTTCATCTTCACAGAAAAACTAAACAGAAGCATTCTCAGAAACTGCTTTGTGATGTTTGTGTTCCACTACAGGAATTGAACTTTCCTCTTGACAGAGCAGCTCTGAAACCCTCTTATTCTAGAATCTGCAAGTGGACATTTGGAGGGCTTTGAGGCCTGTGGTGGAAAAGGAAAATCTTCACATAAAAACTAGATGGAAGCATTCTCAGAAACTACTTTGTGATGATTGCATTCGACTCACAAAGTTGAACATTCCTATAGATAGAGCAGGTTGTAAACAATCTTTTTGTAGAATCTGCGATTGGAGATTTGGACTGCTTTGAGGCCTACTGTAGTAAAGGAAATAACTTCATCTAAAAACCAAACAGAAGCAATCACAGACAATTCTTAGTGATCATTGCATTGAACTAACAGAGCTGAACATTCCTTTAGATGGCGCAGTTTCCAAACACACTTTCTGTAGAATCTGCAAGTGGATATTTGGACCTACTCTGAGGATTTCGTTGGAAACGGGATAAACTTCCCAGAACTACACGGAAGCATTGTGAGAAACTTCTTTGTGATGTTTGCATTCAACTCACAGAGTTGAACCTTGCTTTCATAGTTCAGCGTTCAAACACTCTTTTTGTAGAATCTGCAAGTGGATATTTGGACCACTTTGTGGCCTTCCTTCGAAACGGGTATATCTTCACATCAAACCTAGACAGAAGCATTCTCAGAATGTTTTCTGTGATGACTGCATTCAACTCACAGAGGTGAACAATCCTGTTGATGGAGCAGTTTTGAAACTCTCTTTCTTTGGATTCTGCAAGTGGATATGTGGACCTCTGTGAACATTTCGTTGGAAACGGGTTCATCTTCACAGAAAAACTAAACAGAAGAATTCTCAGAAACTGCTTTGTGATGTTTGTGTTCCACTTCAAGAATTGAACTTTCCTCTTGACAGAGCAGCTCTGAAACCCTCTTTTTCTAGAATCTGCAAGTGGACATTTGGAGGGCTTTGAGGCCTGTGGTGGAAAAGGAAAATCTTCACATAAAAACTAGATGGAAGCATTCTCAGAAACTACTTTGTGATGATTGCATTCGACTCACAGAGTTGAACATTCCTATAGATAGAGCAGGTTGTAAACAATCTTTTTGTAGAATCTGCGATTGGAGATTTAGACTGCTTTGAGGCCTACTGTAGTAAAGGAAATAACTTCATCTAAAAACCAAACGGAAGCATTCACAGACAATTCTTAGTGATCATTGGATTGAACTAACAGAGCTGAACATTCCTTTAGATGGCGCAGTTTCCAAACACACTTTCTGTAGAATCTGCAAGTGGATATTTGGACCTCTCTGAGGATTTCGTTGGAAACGGGATAAACTTCCCAGAACTACACGGAAGCATTCTGAGAAACTTCTTTGTGATGTTTGCATTCAACTCACAGAGTTGAACCTTGCTTTCATAGTTCAGCTTTCAAACACTCTTTTTGTAGAATCTGCAAGTGGATATTTGGACCACTTTCTGGCCTTCCTTCGAAACGGGTATATCTTCACATCAAACCTAGACAGAAGCATTCTCAGAATGTTTCCTGTGATGACTGCATTCAACTCACAGAGGTGAACAATCCTGCTGATGGAGCAGTTTTGAAACTCTCTTTCTTTGGATTCTGCAAGTGGATATGTGGACCTCTGTGAAGATTTCGTTGGAAACGGGTTCATCTTCACAGAAAAACTAAACAGGAGCATTCTCAGAAACTGCTTTGTGATGTTTGTGTTCCACTTCAGGAATTGAACTTTCCTCTTGACAGAGCAGCTCTGAAACCCTCTTATTCTAGAATCTGCAAGTGGACATTTGGAGGGCTTTGAGGCCTGTGGTGGTAAAGGAAAATCTTCACATAAAAACTAGATGGAAGCATTCTCAGAAACTACTTTGTGATGATGGCTTTCGACTCACAGAGTTGAACATTCCTATAGATAGAGCAGGTTGTAAACAATCTTTTTGTAGAATCTGCGATTGGAGATTTGGACTGCTTTGAGGCCTACTGTAGTAAAGGAAATAACTTCATCTAAAAACCAAACGGAAGCATTCACAGACAATTCTTAGTGATCATTGGATTGAACTAACAGAGCTGAACATTCCTTTAGATGGAGCAGTTTCCAAACACACTTTCTGTAGAATCTGCAAGTGGATATTTGGACCTCTCTGAGGATTTCGTTGGAAACGGGATAAACTTCCCAGAACTACACGGAAGCATTGTGAGAAACTTCTTTGTGATGTTTGCATTCAACTCACAGAGTTGAACCTTGCTTTCCTAGTTCAGCTTTCAAACACTCTTTTTGTAGAATCTGCAAGTGGATATTTGGACCACTTTGTGGCCTTCCTTCGAAACGGGTATATCTTCACATCAAACCTAGACAGAAGCATTCTCAGAATGTTTCCTGTGATGACTGCATTGAACTCACAGAGGTGAACAATCCTGCTGATGGAGCAGTTTTGAAACTCTCTTTCTTTGGATTCTGCAAGTGGATATGTGGACCTCTGTGAAGATTTCGTTGGAAACGGGTTCATCTTCACAGAAAAACTAAACAGGAGCATTCTCAGAAACTGCTTTGTGATGTTTGTGTTCCACTTCAAGAATTGAACTTTCCTCTTGACAGAGCAGCTCTGAAACCCTCTTTTTCTAGAATCTGCAAGTGGACATTTGGAGGGCTTTGAGGCCTGTGGTGGAAAAGGAAAATCTTCACATAAAAACTAGATGGAAGCATTCTCAGAAACTACTTTGTGATGATTGCATTCGACTCACAGAGTTGAACATTCCTATAGATAGAGCAGGATGTAAACAAACTTTTTGTAGAATCTGCGATTGGAGATTTGGACTGCTTTGAGGCCTACTGTAGTAAAGGAAATAACTTCATCTAAAAACCAAACGGAAGCATTCACAGACAATTCTTAGTGATCATTGGATTGAACTAACAGAGCTGAACATTCCTTTAGATGGAGCAGTTTCCAAACACACTTTCTGTAGAATCTGCAAGTGGATATTTGGACTTCTCTGAGGATTTCGTTGGAAACGGGATAAACTTCCCAGAACTACACGGAAGCATTCTGAGAAACTTCTTTGTGATGTTTGCATTCAACTCACAGAGTTGAACCTTGCTTTCATAGTTCAGCTTTCAAACCCTCTTTTTGTAGAATCTGCAAGTGGATATTTGGACCACTTTGTGGCCTTCTTTCGAAACGGGTATATCTTCACATCAAACCTAGACAGAAGCATTCTCAGAATGTTTCCTGTGATGACTGCATTCAACTCACAGAGGTGAACAATCCTGCTGATGGAGCAGTTTTGAAACTCTCTTTCTTTGGATTCTGCAAGTGGATATGTGGACCTCTGTGAAGATTTCGTTGGAAACGGGTTCATCTTCACAGAAAAACTAAACAGGAGCATTCTCAGAAACTGCTTTGTGATGTTTGTGTTCCACTTCAAGAATTGAACTTTCCTCTCGACAGAGCAGCTCTGAAACCCTCTTTTTCTAGAATCTGCAAGTGGACATTTGGAGGGCTTTGAGGCCTGTGGTGGAAAAGGAAACTCTTCACATAAAAACTAGATGGAAGCATTCTCAGAAACTACTTTGTGATGATTGCATTCGACTCACAGAGTTGAACATTCCTATAGATAGAGCAGGTTGTAAACAATCTTTTTGTAGAATCTGCGATTGGAGATTTGGACTGCTTTGAGGCCTACTGTAGTAAAGGAAATAACTTCACCTAAAAACCAAACGGAAGCATTCACAGACAATTCTTAGTGATCATTGCATTGAACTAACAGAGCTGAACATTCCTTTAGATGGCGCAGTTTCCAAACACACTTTCTGTAGAATCTGCAAGTGGATATTTGGACCTCTCTGAGGATTTCGTTGGAAACGGGATAAACTTCCCAGAACTACACGGAAGCATTGTGAGAAACTTCTTTGTGATGTTTGCATTCAACTCACAGAGTTGAACCTTGCTTTCATAGTTCAGCTTTCAAACACTCTTTTTGTAGAATCTGCAAGTGGATATTTGGACCACTTTGTGGCCTTCCTTCGAAACGGGTATATCTTCACATCAAACCTAGACAGAAGCATTCTCAGAATGTTTCCTGTGATGACTGCATTCAACTCACAGAGGTGAACAATCCTGCTGATGGAGCAGTTTTGAAACTCTCTTTCTTTGGATTCTGCAAGTGGATATGTGGACCTCTGTGCAGATTTCGTTGGAAACGGGTTCATCTTCACAGAAAAACTAAACAGGAGCATTCTCAGAAACTGCTTTGTGATGTTTGTGTTCCACTTAAAGAATTGAACTTTCCTCTTGACAGAGCAGCTCTGAAACCCTCTTTTTCTAGAATCTGCAAGTGGACATTTGGAGGGCTTTGAGGCCTGTGGTGGAAAAGGAAAATCTTCACATAAAAACTTTATGGAAGCATTCTCAGAAACTTCTTTGTGATGATTGCATTCGACTCACAGAGTTCAACATTCCTATAGATAGAGCAGGTTGTAAACAATCTTTTTGTAGAATCTACGACTGGAGATTTGGACTGCTTTGAGGCCTACTGTAGTAAAGGAAATAACTTCATCTAAAAACCAAACGGAAGCATTCACAGACAATTCTTAGTGATCATTGGATTGAACTAACAGAGCTGAACATTCCCTTAGATGGCGCAGTTTCCAAACACACTTTCTGTAGAATCAGCAAGTGGATATTTGGACCTCTCTGAGGATTTCGTTGGAAACGGGATAAACTTCCCAGAACTACACGGAAGCATTCTGAGAAACTTCTTTGTGATGTTTGCATTCAACTCACAGAGTTGAACCTTGCTTTCATAGTTCAGCTTTCAAACACTCTTTTTGTAGAATCTGCAAGTGGATATTTGGACCACTTTCTGGCCTTCCTTCGAAACGGGTATATCTTCACATCAAACCTAGACAGAAGCATTCTCAGAATGTTTCCTGTGATAACTGCATTCAACTCACAGAGGTGAACAATCCTGTTGATGGAGCAGTTTTGAAACTCCCTTTCTTTGGATTCTGCAAGTGGATATGTGGAACTCTGTGAAGATTTCGTTGGAAACGGGTTCATCTTCACAGAAAAACTAAACAGGAGCATTCTCAGAAACTGCTTTGTGATGTTTGTGTTCCACTTCAAGAATTGAACTTTCCTCTTGACAGAGCAGCTCTGAAACCCTCTTTTTCTAGAATCTGCAAGTGGACATTTGGAGGGCTTTGAGGCCTGTGGTGGAAAAGGAAAATCTTCACATAAAAAATTGATGGAAGCATTCTCAGAAACTACTTTGTGATGATTGCATTCGACTCACAGAGTTGAACATTCCTATAGATAGAGCAGGTTGTAAACAATCTTTTGTAGAATCTGCGATTGGAGATTTGGACTGCTTTGAGGCCTACTGTAGTAAAGGAAATAACTTCATCTAAAAACCAAACGGAAGCATTCACAGACAATTCTTAGTGATCATTGGATTGAACTAACAGAGCTGAACATTCCTTTAGATGGAGCAGTTTCCAAACACACTTTCTGTAGAATCTGCAAGTGGATATTTGGACTTCTCTGAGGATTTCGTTGGAAACGGGATAAACTTCCCAGAACTACACGGAAGCATTGTGAGAAACTTCTTTGTGATGTTTGCATTCAACTCACAGAGTTGAACCTTGCTTTCATAGTTCAGCTTTCAAACACTCTTTTTGTAGAATCTGCAAGTGGATATTTGGACCACTTTGTGGCCTTCCTTCGAAACGGGTATATCTTCACATCAAACCTAGACAGAAGCATTCTCAGAATGTTTCCTGTGATGACTGCATTCAACTCACAGAGGTGAACAATCCTGCTGATGGAGCAGTTTTGAAACTCTCTTTCTTTGGATTCTGCAAGTGGATATGTGGACCTCTGTGAAGATTTCGTTGGAAACGGGTTCATCTTCACAGAAAAACTAAACAGGAGCATTCTCAGAAACTGCTTTGTGATGTTTGTGTTCCACTTCAGGAATTGAACTTTCCTCTTCACAGAGCAGCTCTGAAATCCTCTTATTCTAGAATCTGCAAGTGGACATTTGGAGGGCTTTGAGGCCTGTGGTGGAAAAGGAAAATCTTCACATAAAAACTAGATGGAAGCATTCTCAGAAACTACTTTGTGATGATTGCATTCGACTCACAGAGTTGAACATTCCTATAGATAGAGCAGGTTGTAAACAATCTTTTTGTAGAATCTGCGATTGGAGATTTGGACTGCTTTGAGGCCTACTGTAGTAAAGGAAATAACTTCATCTAAAAACCAAACGGAAGCATTCACAGACAATTCTTAGTGATCATTGCATTGAACTAACAGAGCTGAACATTCCTTTAGATGGAGCAGTTTCCAAACACACTTTCTGTAGAATCTGCAAGTTGATATTTGGACTTCTCTGAGGATTTCGTTGGAAACGGGATAAACTTCCCAGAACTACACGGAAGCATTCTGAGAAACTTCTTTGTGATGTTTGCATTCAACTCACAGAGTTGAACCTTGCTTTCATAGTTCAGCTTTCAAACACTCTTATTGTAGGATCTGCAAGTGGATATTTGGACCACTTTGTGGCCTTCCTTCGAAACGGGTATATCTTCACATCAAACCTAGACAGAAGCATTCTCAGAATGTTTCCTGTGATGACTGCATTCAACTCACAGAGGTGAACAATCCTGCTGATGGAGCAGTTTTGAAACTCTCTTTCTTTGGATTCTGCAAGTGGATATGTGGACCTCTCTGAAGATTTCGTTGAAAACTGTTTCTTCTTCACAGAAAAACTAAACAGAAGCATTCTCAGAAACAGCTTTGTGATGTTTGTGTTCCACTTCAAGAATTGAACTTTCCTCTTGAGAGAGCAGCTCTGAAACCCTCTTTTTCTAGAGTCTGCAAGTGGACATTTGGAGGGCTTTGAGGCCTGTGGTGGAAAAGGAAAATCTTCACATAAAAACTAGATGGAAGCATTCTCAGAAACTACTTTGTGATGACTGCATTCGACTCACAGAGTTGAACATTCCTATAGATAGAGCAGGTTGTAAACAATGTTTTTGTAGAATCTGCGATTGGAGATTTGGATTTCTTTGAGGCCTACTGTAGTAAAGGAAATAACTTCATCTAAAAACCAAACGGAAGCATTCACAGACAATTCTTAGTGATCATTGGATTGAACTAACAGAGCTGAACATTCCTTTAGATGGAGCAGTTGCCAAACCCACTTTCTGTAGAATCTGCAAGTGGATATTTGGACTTCTACTGAGGATTTCGTTGGAAACGGGATAAACTTCCCAGAACTACACGGAAGCATTCTGAGAAACTTCTTTGTGATGTTTGCATTCAACTCACAGAGTTGAACCTTGCTTTCATAGTTCAGCTTTCAAACACTCTTTTTGTAGAATCTGCAAGTGGATATTTGGACCACTTTGTGGCCTTCCTTCGAAACGGGTATATCTTCACATCAAACCTAGACAGAAGCATTCTCAGAATGTTTCCTGTGATGACTGCATTCAACTCACAGAGGTGAACAATCCTGCTGTTGGAGCAGTTTTGAAACTCTCTTTCTTTGGATTCTGCAAGTGGATATGTGGACCTCTGTGAAGATTTCGTTGGAAACGGGTTCATCTTCACAGAAAAACTAAACAGGAGCATTCTCAGAAACTGCTTTGTGATGTTTGTGTTCCACTTAAAGAATTGAACTTTCCTCTTGACAGAGCAGCTCTGAAACCCTCTTTTTCTAGAATCTGCAAGTGGACATTTGGAGGGCTTTGAGGCCTGTGGTGGAAAAGGAAAATCTTCACATAAAAACTTTATGGAAGCATTCTCAGAAACTACTTTGTGATGATTGCATTCGACTCACAGAGTTGAACATTCCTATAGATAGAGCAGGTTGTAAACAATCTTTTTGTAGAATCTGCGATTGGAGATTTGGACTGCTTTGAGGCCTACTGTAGTAAAGGAAATAACTTCATCTAAAAACCAAACGGAAGCATTCACAGACAATTCTTAGTGATCATTGGATTGAACTAACAGAGCTGAACATTCCTTTAGATGGAGCAGTTTCCAAACCCACTTTCTGTAGAATCTGCAAGTGGATATTTGGACTTCTCTGAGAATTTCGTTGGAAACGGGATAAACTTCCCAGAACTACACGGAAGCATTCTGAGAAACTTCTTTGTCATGTTTGCATTCAACTCACAGAGTTGAACCTTGCTTTCATAGTTCAGCTTTCAAACACTCTTTTTGTAGAATCTGCAAGTGGATATTTGGACCACTTTGTGGCCTTCCTTCGAAACGGGTATATCTTCACATCAAACCTAGACAGAAGCATTCTCAGAATGTTTCCTGTGATGACTGCATTCAACTCACAGAGGTGAACAATCCTGTTGATGGAGCAGTTTTGAAACTCTCTTTCTTTGGAGTCTGCAAGTGGATATGTGGACCTCTTTGAAGATTTCGTTGCAAAGGGGTTCATCTTCACAGAGAAACTAAACAGAAGCATTCTCAGAAACTGCTTTGTGATGTTTGCGTTCCACTTCAAGAATTGAACTTTCCTCTTGACAGAGCAGCTCTGAAACCCTCTTTTTCTAGAATCTGCAAGTGGACATTTGGAGGGCTTTGAGGCCTGTGGTGGAAAAGGAAAATCTTCACATAAGAACTAGATGGAAGCATTCTCAGAAACTACTTTGTGATGATTGCATTCGACTCACAGAGTTGAACATTCCTATAGATAGAGCAGGTTGTAAACAATCTTTTTGTAGAATCTGCGATTGGAGATTTGGACTGCTTTGAGGCCTACTGTAGTAAAGGAAATAACTTCATCTAAAAACCAAACGGAAGCATTCACAGACAATTCTTAGTGATCATTGCATTGAACTAACAGAGCTGAACATTCCTTTAGATGGCGCAGTTTCCAAACACACTTTCTGTAGAATCTGCAAGTGGATATTTGGACTTCTCTGAGGATTTCGTTGGAAACGGGATAAACTTCCCAGAACTACACGGAAGCATTGTGAGAAACTTCTTTGTGATGTTTGCATTCAACTCACAGAGTTGAACCTTGCTTTCATAGTTCAGCTTTCAAACACTCTTTTTGTAGAATCTGCAAGTGGATATTTGGACCACTTTGTGGCCTTCCTTCGAAACGGGTATATCTTCACATCAAACCTAGACAGAAGCATTCTCAGAATGTTTCCTGTGATGACTGCATTCAACTCACAGAGGTGAACAATCCTGCTGATGGAGCAGTTTTGAAACTCTCTTTCTTTGGATTCTGCAAGTGGATATGTGGACCTCTGTGAAGATTTCGTTGGAAACGGGTTCATCTTCACAGAAAAACTAAACAGGAGCATTCTCAGAAACTGCTTTGTGATGTTTGTGTTCCACTTCAAGAATTGAACTTTCCTCTTGACAGAGCAGCTCTGAAACCCTCTTTTTCTAGAATCTGCAAGTGGACATTTGGAGGGCTTTGAGGCCTGTGGTGGAAAAGGAAAATCTTCCCATAAAAACTAGATGGAAGCATTCTCAGAAACTACTTTGTGATGATTGCATTCGACTCACAGAGTTGAACATTCCTATAGATAGAGCAGGTTGTAAACAATCTTTTTGTAGAATCTGCGATTGGAGATTTGGACTGCTTTGAGGCCTACTGTAGTAAAGGAAATAACTTCATCTAAAAACCAAACGGAAGCATTCACAGACAATTCTTAGTGATCATTGGATTGAACTAACAGAGCTGAAGATTCCCTTAGATGGCGCAGTTTCCAAACACACTTTCTGTAGAATCTGCAAGTGGATATTTGGACCTCTCTGAGGATTTCGTTGGAAACGGGATAAACTTCCCAGAACTACACGGAAGCATTCTGAGAAACTTCTTTGTCATGTTTGCATTCAACTCACAGAGTTGAACCTTGCTTTCATAGTTCAGCTTTCAAACACTCTTTTTGTAGAATCTGCAAGTGGATATTTGGACCACTTTGTGGCCTTCCTTCGAAACGGGTATATCTTCACATCAAACCTAGACAGAAGCATTCTCAGAATGTTTCCTGTGATGACTGCATTCAACTCACAGAGGTCAACAATCCTGCTGATGGAGCAGTTTTGAAACTCTCTTTCTTTGGATTCTGCAAGTGGATATGTGGACCTCTGTGAAGATTTCGTTGGAAACGGGTTCATCTTCACAGAAAAACTAAACAGAAGCATTCTCAGAAACTGCTTTGTGATGTTTGTGTTCCACTTCAAGAATTGAACTTTCCTCTTGACAGAGCAGCTCTGAAACCCTCTTTTTCTAGAATCTGCAAGTGGACATTTGGAGGGCTTTGAGGCCTGTGGTGGAAAAGGAAAATCTTCACCTAAAAACTAGATGGAAGCATTCTCAGAAACTACTTTGTGATGATTGCATTCGACTCACAGAGTTGAACATTCCTATAGATAGAGCAGGTTGTAAACAATCTTTTTGTAGAATCTGCGATTGGAGATTTGGACTGCTTTGAGGCCTACTGTAGTAAATGAAATAACTTCATCTAAAAACCAAACGGAAGAATTCACAGACAATTCTTAGTGATCATTGGATTGAACAAACAGAGCTGAACATTCCTTTAGATAGAGCAGTTTACAAACACACTTTCTGTAGAATCTGCAAGTGGATATTTGGACTTCTCTGAGGATTTCGTTGGAAACAGGATAAACTTCCCAGAACTACACGGAAGCATTCTGAGAAACTTCCTTTTGATGTTTGCATTCAACTCACAGAGTTGAAACTTGCTTTCATAGTTCAGCTTTCAAACACTCTTTTTGTAGAATCTGCAAGTGGATATTTGGACCACTTTGTGGCCTTCCTTCGAAACGGGTATATCTTCACATCAAACCTAGACAGAAGCATTCTCAGAATGTTTCCTGTGATGACTGCATTCAACTCACAGAGGTGAACAATCCTGCTGATGGAGCAGTTTTGAAACTCTCTTTCTTTGGATTCTGCAAGTGGATATGTGGACCTCTGTGAAGATTTCGTTGGAAACGGGTTCATCTTCACAGAAAAACTAAACAGGAGCATTCTCAGAAACTACTTTGTGATGTTTGTGTTCCACTTCAAGAATTGAACTTTCCTCTTGACAGAGCAGCTCTGAAACCCTCTTTTTCTAGAATCTGCAAGTGGACATTTGGAGGGCTTTGAGGCCTGTGGTGGAAAAGGAAAATCTTCACATAAAAACTAGATGGAAGCATTCTCAGAAACTACTTTGTGATGATTGCATTCGACTCACAGAGTTGTACATTCCTATAGATAGAGCAGGTTGAAAACAATCTTTTTGTAGAATCTGCGATTGGAGATTTGGACTGCTTTGAGTCCTACTGTAGTAAAGGAAATAACTTCATCTAAAAACCAAACGGAAGCATTCACAGACAATTCTTAGTGATCATTGGATTGAACTAACAGAGCTGAACATTCCTTAAGATGGAGCAGTTTCCAAACCCACTTTCTGTAGAATCTGCAAGTGGATATTTGGACTTCTCTGAGGATTTCGTTGGAAACGGGATAAACTTCCCAGAACTACACGGAAAGCATTCTGAGAAACTTCTTTGTGATGTTTGCATTCAACTCACAGAGTTGAACCTTGCTTTCATAGTTCAGCTTTCAAACACTCTTTTTGTAGAATCTTCAAGTGGATATTTGGACCACTTTGTGGCCTTCCTTCGAAACGGGTATATCTTCACATCAAACCTAGACAGAAGCATTCTCAGAATGTTTCCTGTGATGACTGCATTCAACTCACAGAGGTGAACAATCCTGCTGATGGAGCAGTTTTGAAACTCTCTTTCTTTGGATTCTGCAAGTGGATATGTGGACCTCTGTGAAGATTTCGTTGGAAACGGGTTCATCTTCACAGAAAAACTAAACAGAAGCATTCTCAGCAAACTGCTTTGTGATGTTTGTGTTCCACTTCAAGAATTGAACTTTCCTCTTGACAGAGCAGCTCTGAAACCCTCTTTTTCTAGAATCTGCAAGTGGACATTTGGAGGGCTTTGAGGCCTGTGGTGGAAAAGGAAAACCTTCACATAAAAACTAGATGGAAGCATTCTCAGAAACTACTTTGTGATGATTGCATTCGACTCACAGAGTTGAACATTCCTATAGATAGAGCAGGTTGTAAACAATCTTTTTGTAGAATCTGCGATTGGAGATTTGGACTGCTTTGAGGCCTACTGTAGAAAAGGATATAACTTCATCTAAAAACCAAACGGAAGCATTCACAGACAATTCTTAGTGATCATTGCATTGAACTAACAGAGCTGAACATTCCTGTAGATATCGCAGTTTCCAAACACACTTTCTGTAGAATCTGCAAGTGGATATTTGGACTTCTCTGAGGATTTCGTTGGAAACGGGATAAACTTCCCAGAACTACAGGGAAGCATTGTGAGAAACTTCTTTTTGATGTTTGCATTCAACTCACAGAGTTGAACCTTGCTTTCATAGTTCAGCTTTCAAACACTCTTTTTGTAGAATCTGCAAGTGGATATTTGGACCACTTTGTGGCCTTCCTTCGAAACGGGTATATCTTCACATCAAACCTAGACAGAAGCATTCTCAGAATGTTTCCTGTGATGACTGCATTCAACTCACAGAGGTGAACAATCCTGCTGATGGAGCAGTTTTGAAACTCTCTTTCTTTGGATTCTGCAAGTGGATATGTGGACCTCTGTGAAGATTTCGTTGGAAACGGGTTCATCTTCACAGAAAAACTAAACAGGAGCATTCTCAGAAACTGCTTTGTGATGTTTGTGTTCCACTTCAGGAATTGAACTTTCCTCTTGACAGAGCAGCTCTGAAACCCTCTTTTTCTAGAATCTGCAAGTGGACATTTGGAGGGCTTTGAGGCCTGTGGTGGAAAAGGAAAATCTTCACATAAAAACTAGATGGAAGCATTCTCAGAAACTACTTTGTGATGATTGCATTCGACTCACAGAGTTGAACATTCCTATAGATAGAGCAGGTTGTAAACAATCTTTTTGTAGAATCTGCGATTGGAGATTTGGACTGCTTTGAGGCCTACTGTAGTAAAGGAAATAACTTCATCTAAAAACCAAACGGAAGCATTCACAGACAATTCTTAGTGATCATTGCATTGAACTAACAGAGCTGAACATTCCTTTAGATGGCGCAGGTTCCAAACACACTTTCTGTAGAATCTGCAAGTGGATATTTGGACCTCTCTGAGGATTTCGTTGGAAACGGGATAAACTTCCCAGAACTACAAGGAAGCATTCTGAGAAACTTCTTTGTGATGTTTGCTTTCAACTCACAGAGTTGAACCTTGCTTTCATAGTTCAGCTTTCAAACCCTCTTTTTGTAGAATCTGCAAGTGGATATTTGGACCACTTTGTGGCCTTCCTTCGAAACGGGTATATCTTCACATCAAATCTAGACAGAAGCATTCTCAGAATGTTTCCTGTGATGACTGCATTCAACTCACAGAGGTGAACAATCCTGCTGATGGAGCAGTTTTGAAACTCTCTTTCTTTGGATTCTGGAAGTGGATATGTGGACCTCTGTGAAGATTTCGTTGGAAACGGGTTCATCTTCACAGAATAACTAAACAGGAGCCTTCTCAGAAACTGCTTTGTGATGTTTGTGTTCCACTTCAGGAATTGAACTTTCCTCTTGACAGAGCAACTCTGAAACCCTCTTTTTCTAGAATCTGCAAGTGGACATTTGGAGGGCTTTGAGGCCTGTGGTGGAAAAGGAAACTCTTCACATAAAAACTAGATGGAAGCATTCTCAGAAACTACTTTGTGATGATTGCATTCGACTCACAGAGTTGAACATTCCTATAGATAGAGCAGGTTGTAAACAATCTTTTTGTAGAATCTGCGATTGGAGATTTGGACTGCTTTGAGGCCTACTGTAGTAAAGGAAATAACTTCATCTAAAAACCAAACGGAAGCATTCACAGACAATGCTTAGTGATCATTGCATTGAACTAACAGAGCTGAAGATTCCTTTAGATGGAGCAGTTTCCAAACCCAGTTTCTGTAGAATCTGCAAGTGGATATTTGGACCTCTCTGAGGATTTCGTTGGAAACGGGATATACTTCCCAGAACTACACGGAAGTATTCTGAGAAATTTCTTTGTGATGTTTGCATTCAACTCACAGAGTTGAACATGGCTTTCATAGTTCAGCTTTCAAACACTGTTTTTGTAGAATCTGCAAGTGGATATTTGGACCACTTTGTGGCCTTCCTTCGAAACTGGTATATCTTCACATCAAACCTAGACAGAAGCATTCTCAGAATGTTTCCTGTGATGACTGCATTCAACTCACAGAGGTGAACAATCCTGCTGATGGAGCAGTTTTGAAACTCTCCTTCTTTGGATTCTGCAAGTGGATATGTGGACCTCTGTGAAGATTTCGTTGGAAACGGGTTCATCTTCACAGAAAAACTAAACAGAAGCATTCTCAGAAACTGCTTTGTGATGTTTGTGTTCCACTTCAGGAATTGAACTTTCCTCTTGACAGAGCAGCTCTGAAACCCTCTTTTTCTAGAATCTGCAAGTGGACATTTGGAGGGCTTTGAGGCCTGTGGTGGAAAAGGAAAATCTTCACATAAAAACTTTATGGAAGCATTCTCAGAAACTACTTTGTGATGATTGCATTCGACTCACAGAGTTGAACATTCCTATAGATAGAGCAGGTTGTAATCAATCTTTTTGTAGAATCTGCGATTGGAGATTTGGACTGCTTTGAGGCCTACTGTAGTAAAGGAAATAACTTCATCTAAAAACCAAACGGAAGCATTCACAGACAATTCTTAGTGATCATTGCATTGATCTAACAGAGCTGAACATTCCTTTAGATGGCGTAGTTTCCAAACACACTTTCTGTAGAATCTGCAAGTGGATATTTGGACCTCTCTGAGGATTTCGTTGGAAACGGGATAAACTTCCCAGAACTACACGGAAGCATTCTGAGAAACTTCTTTGTGATGTTTGCATTCAACTCACAGAGTTGAACCTTGCTTTCATAGTTCAGCTTTCAAACACTCTTTTTGTAGAATCTGCAAGTGGATATTTGGACCACTTTGTGGCCTTCCTTCGAAACGGGTATATCTTCACATCAAACCTAGACAGAAGCATTCTCAGAATGTTTCCTGTGATGACTGCATTCAACTCACAGAGGTGAACAATCCTGCTGATGGAGCAGTTTTGAAACTCTCTTTCTTTGGATTCTGCAAGTGGATATGTGGACCTCTGTGAAGATTTCGTTGGAAACGGGTTCATCTTCACAGAAAAACTAAACAGGAGCATTCTCAGAAACTACTTTGTGATGTTTGTGTTCCACTTCAAGAATTGAACTTTCCTCTTGACAGAGCAGCTCTGAAACCCTCTTTTACTAGAATCTGCAAGTGGACATTTGGAGGGCTTTGAGGCCTGTGGTGGAAAAGGAAAATCTTCACATAAAAACTAGATGGAAGCATTCTCAGAAACTACTTTGTGATGATGGCTTTCGACTCACAGAGTTGAACATTCCTATAGATAGAGCAGGTTGTAAACAATCTTTTTGTAGAATCTGCGATTGGAGATTTGGACTGCTTTGAGGCCTACTGTAGTAAAGGAAATAACTTCATCTAAAAACCAAACGGAAGCATTCACAGACAATTCTTAGTGATCATTGCATTGAACTAACAGAGTTGAACATTGCTTTAGATGGCGCAGTTTCCAAACCCACTTTCTGTAGAATCTGCAAGTGGATATTTGGACCTCTCTGAGGATTTCGTTGGAAACGGGATAAACTTCCCAGAACTACACGGAAGCATTCTGAGAAACTTCTTTCTGATGTTTGCATTCAACTCACAGAGTTGAAGCTTGCTTTCATAGTTCAGCTTTCAAACACTCTTTTTGTAGAATCTGCAAGTGGATATTTGGACCACTTTGTGGCCTTCCTTCGAAACGGGTATATCTTCACATCAAACCTAGACAGAAGCATTCTCAGAATGTTTCCTGTGATGACTGCATTCAACTCACAGAGGTGAACAATCCTGCTGATGGAGTAGTTTTGAAGCTCTCTTTCTTTGGATTCTGCAAGTGGATATGTGGACCTCTTTGAAGATTTCGTTGGAAACGGGTTCATCTTCACAGAAAAACTAAACAGAAGCATTCTCAGAAACTGCTTTGTGATGTTTGTGTTCCACTTCAGGAATTGAACTTTCCTCTTGACAGAGCAGCTCTAAAACCCTCTTATTCTAGAATCTGCAAGTGGACATTTGGAGGGCTTTGAGGCCTGTGGTGGAAAAGGAAAATCTTCACATAAAAACTAGATGGAAGCATTCTCAGAAACTACTTTGTGATGATTGCATTCGACTCACAGAGTTGAACATTCCTATAGATAGAGCAGGTTGTAAACAATCTTTTTGTAGAATCTGCGATTGGAGATTTGGACTGCTTTGAGGCCTACTGTAGTAAAGGAAATAACTTCATCTAAAAACCAAACGGAAGCATTCACAGACAATTCTTAGTGATCATTGGATTGAACTAACAGAGCTGAACATTCCTTTAGATGGAGCAGTTTACAAACACACTTTATGTAGAATCTGCAAGTGGATATTTGGACCTCTCTGAGGATTTCGTTGGAAACGGGATAAACTTCCCAGAACTACACGGAAGCATTCTGAGAAACTTCTTTGTGATGTTTGCATTCAACTCACAGATTTGCACCTTGCTTTCATAGTTCAGCTTTCAAACACTCTTTTTGTAGAATCTGCAAGTGGATATTTGGACCACTTTGTGGCCTTCCTTCGAAAAGGGTATATCTTCACATCAAACCTAGACAGAAGCATTCTCAGAATGTTTCCTCTGATGACTGCATTCAACTCACAGAGGTGAACAATCCTGCTGATGGAGGAGTTTTGAAACTCTCTTTCTTTGGATTCTGCAAGTGGATATGTGGACCTCTGTGAAGATTTCGTTGGAAACGGGTTCATCTTCACAGAAAAACTAAACAGAAGCATTCTCAGAAACTGCTTTGTGATGTTTGTGTTCCACTTCAGGAATTGAACTTTCCTCTTGACAGAGCAGCTCTAAAACCCTCTTATTCTAGAATCTGCAAGTGGACATTTGGAGGGCTTTGAGGCCTGTGGTGGAAAAGGAAAATCTTCACATAAAAACTAGATGGAAGCATTCTCAGAAACTACTTTGTGATGATTGCATTCGACTCACAGAGTTGAACATTCCTATAGATAGAGCAGGTTGTAAACAATCTTTTTGTAGAATCTGCGATTGGAGATTTGGACTGCTTTGAGGCCTACTGTAGTAAAGGAAATAACTTCATCTAAAAACCAAACGGAAGCATTCACAGAAAATTCTTAGTGATCATTGGATTGAACTAACAGAGCTGAACATTCCTTTAGATGGCACAGTTTCCAAACACACTTTCTGTAGAATCTGCAAGTGGATATTTGGACCTATCTGAGGATTTCGTTGGAAACGGGCTAAATTTCAAAGAACTACACGGAAGCATTCTGAGAAACTTTTTTGTGATGTTTGCATTCAACTCACAGAGTTGAACCTTGCTTTCATATTTCAGCTTTCAAACACTCTTTTTGTAGAATCTGTAAGTGGATATTTGGACCACTTTGGGGCCTTCCTTCGAAACGGGTATATCTTCACATCAAACCTAGACAGAAGCATTCTCAGAATGTTTCCTGTGATGACTGCATTCAACTCACAGAGGTGAACAATCCTGCTGATGGAGCAGTTTTGAAACTCTGTTTCTTTGGATTCTGCAAGTGGATATGTGGACCTCTGTGAAGATTTCGTTGGAAACGGGTTCATCTTCACAGAAAAACTAAACAGAAGCATTCTCAGAAACTGCTTTGTGATGTTTGTGTTCCACTTCAAGAATTGAGCTTTCCTCTTGACAGAGCAGCTCTGAAACCCTCTTTTTCTAGAATCTGCAAGTGGACCTTTGGAGGGCTTTGAGGCCTGTGGTGGAAAAGGAAAATCTTCACATAAAAACTAGATGGAAGCATTCTCAGAAACTACTTTGTGATGATTGCATTCGACTCACAGAGTTGAACATTCCTATAGATAGAGCAGGTTGTAAACAATCTTTTTGTAGAATCTGCGATTGGAGATTTGGACTGCTTTGAGGCCTACTGTAGTAAAGGAAATAACTTCATCTAAAAACCAAACGGAAGCATTCACAGACAATTCTTAGTGATCATTGGATTGAACTAACAGAGCTGAACATTCCTTTAGATGGAGCAGATTCCAAACACACTTTCTGGAGAATCTGCAAGTGGATATTTGGACCTCTCTGAGGATTTCGTTGGAAACGGGATAAACTTCCCAGAACTACACGGAAGCATTGTGAGAAACTTCTTTGTGATGTTTGCATTCAAGTCACAGAGTTGAACCTTGCTTTCATAGTTCAGCTTTCAAACACTCTTTTTGTAGAATCTGCAAGTGGATATTTGGACCACTTTGTGGCCTTCCTTTGAAACGGGTATATCTTCACATCAAACCTAGACAGAAGCATTCTCAGAATGTTTCCTGTGATGACTGCATTCAACTCACAGAGGTGAACAATCCTGCTGATGGAGCAGTTTTGAAACTCTCTTTCTTTGGATTCTGCAAGTGGATATGTGGACCTCTGTGAAGATTTCGTTGGAAACGGGTTCATCTTCACAGAAAAACTAAACAGAAGCATTCTCAGAAACTGCTTTGTGATGTTTGTGTTCCACTTCAGGAATTGAACTTTCCTCTTGACAGAGCAGCTCTGAAACCCTCTTTTTCTAGAATCTGCAAGTGGACATTTGGAGGGCTTTGAGGCCTGTGGTGGAAAAGGAAAATCTTCACATAAAAACTAGATGGAAGCATTCTCAGAAACTACTTTGTGATGATTGCATTCGACTCACAGAGTTGAACATTCCTATAGATAGAGCAGGTTGTAAACAATCTTTTTGTAGAATCTGCGATTGGAGATTTGGATTGCTTTGAGGCCTACTGTAGTAAAGGAAATAACTTCATCTAAAAACCAAATGGAAGCATTCACAGACAATTCTTAGTGATCATTGCATTGATCTAACAGAGCTGAACATTCCTTTAGATGGCGTAGTTTCCAAACACACTTTCTGTAAAATCTGCAAGTGGATATTTGGACCTCTCTGAGGATTTCGTTGGAAACGGGATAAACTTCCCAGAACTACACAGGAAGCATTGTGAGAAACTTCTTTGTGATGTTTGCATTCAACTCACAGAGTTGAACCTTGCTTTCATAGTTCAGCTTTCAAACACTCTTTTTGTAGAATCTGCAACTGGATATTTGGACCACTTTGTGGCCTTCCTTCGAAACGGGTATATATTCACATCAAACCTAGACAGAAGCATTCTCAGAATGTTTCCTGTGATGACTCCATTCAACTCACAGAGGTGAACAATCCTGCTGATGGAGCAGTTTTGAAACTCTCTTTCTTTGGATTCTGCAAGTGGATATGTGGACCTCTGTGAAGATTTCGTTGGAAACGGGTTCATCTTCACAGAAAAACTAAACAGAAGCATTCTCAGAAACTGCTTTGTGATGTTTGTGTTCCACTTCAAGAATTGAACTTTCCTCTTGACAGAGCAGCTCTGAAACCCTCTTTTTCTAGAATCTGCAAGTGGACATTTGGAGGGCTTTGAGGCCTGTGGTGTAAAAGGAAAATCTTCACATAAAAACTAGATGGAAGCATTCTCAGAAACTACTTTGTGATGATTGCATTCGACTCACAGAGTTGAACATTCCTATAGATAGAGCAGGTTGTAAACAATCTTTTTGTAGAATCTGCGATTGGAGATTTGGACTGCTTTGAGGCCTACTGTAGTAAAGGAAATAACTTCATCTAAAAACCAAACGGAAGCATTCACAGACAATTCTTAGTGATCATTGGATTGAACTAACAGAGCTGAACATTCCTTTAGATGGAGAAGTTTCCAAACACACTTTCTGCAGAATCTGCAAGTGGATATTTGGACTTCTCTGAGGATTTCGTTGGAAACGGGATACACTTCCCAGAACTACACGGAAGCATTGTGAGAAACTTCTTTGTGATGTTTGCATTCAACTCACAGAGTTGAACCTTGCTTTCATAGTTCAGCTTTCAAACACTCTTTTTGTAGAATCTGCAAGTGGATATTTGGACCACTTTGTGGCCTTCCTTTGAAACGGGTATATCTTCACATCAAACCTAGACAGAAGCATTCTCAGAATGTTTCCTGTGATGACTGCATTCAACTCACAGAGGTGAACAATCCTGTTGATGGAGCAGTTTTGAAACTCTCTTTCTTTGGATTCTGCAAGTGGATATGTGGACCTACTGTGAAGATTTCGTTGGAAACGGGTTCATCTTCACAGAAAAACTAAACAGGAGCATTCTCAGAAACTGCTTTGTGATGTTTGTGTTCCACTTCAGGAATTGAACTTTCCTCTTGACAGAGCAGCTCTGAAACCCTCTTTTTCTAGAGTCTGCAAGTGGACATTTGGAGGGCTTTGAGGCCTGTGGTGGAAAAGGAAAATCTTCACATAAAAACTAGATGGAAGCATTCTCAGAAACTACTTTGTGATGATTGCATTCGACTCACAGAGTTGAACATTCCTATAGATAGAGCAGGTTGTAAACAATCTTTTTGTAGAATCTGCGATTGGAGATTTGGACTGTTTTGAGGCCTACTGTAGTAAAGGAAATAACATCATCTAAAAACCAAACGGAAGCATTCACAGACAATTCTTAGTGATCATTGGATTGAACTAAGAGAGCTGAACATTCCCTTAGATGGCACAGTTTCCAAACACACTTTCTGTAGAATCTGCAAGTGGATATTTGGACTTCTCTGAGGATTCCGTTGGAAACGGGATAAACTTCCCAGAACTACACGGAAGCATTCTGAGAAACTTCTTTGTGATGTTTGCATTCAACTCACAGAGTTGAACCTTGCTTTCATAGTTCAGCTTTCAAACACTCTTTTTGTAGAATCTGCAAGTGGATATTTGGACCACTTTGTGGCCTTCCTTCGAAACGGGTATATCTTCACATCAAACCTAGACAGAAGCATTCTCAGAGTGTTTCCTGTGATGACTGCATTCAACTCACAGAGGTGAACAATCCTGCTGATGGAGCAGTTTTGAAACTCTCTTTCTTTGGATTCTGCAAGTGGATATGTGGACCTCTGTGAAGATTTCGTTGGAAACGGGTTCATCTTCACAGAAAAACTAAACAGAAGCATTCTCAGAAACTCCTTTGTCATGTTTGTGTTCCACTTCAGGAATTGAACTTTCCTCTTGACAGAGCAGCTCTGAAACCCTCTTATTCTAGAATCTGCAAGTGGACATTTGGAGGGCTTTGAGGCCTGTGGTGGAAAAGGAAAATCTTCACATAAAAACTAGATGGAAGCATTCTCAGAAACTACTTTGTGATGATTGCATTCGACTCACAGAGTTGAACATTCCTATAGATAGAGCAGGTTGTAAACAATCTTTTTGTAGAATCTGCGATTGGAGATTTGGACTGCTTTGAGGCCTACTGTAGTAAAGGAAATAACTTCATCTAAAAACCAAACGGAAGCATTCACAGACAATTCTTAGTGATCATTGCATTGAACTAACAGAGCTGAACATTCCTTTAGATGGAGCAGTTTCCAAACACACTTTCTGTAGAATGTGCAAGTGGATATTTGGACTTCTCTGAGGATTTCGTTGGAAACGGGATAAACTTCCCAGAACTACACGGAAGCATTCTGAGAAACTTCTTTGTGATGTTTGCATTCAACTCACAGAGTTGAACCTTGCTTTCATAGTTCAGCTTTCAAACACTCTTTTTGTAGAATCTGCAAGTGGATATTTGGACCACTTTGTGGCCTTCCTTCGAAACGGGTATATCTTCACATCAAACCTAGACAGAAGCATTCTCAGAATGTTTCCTGTGATGACTGCATTCAACTCACAGAGGTGAACAATCCTGTTGATGGAGCAGTTTTGAAACTCTCTTTCTTTGGATTCTGCAAGTGGATATGTGGACCTCTGTGAAGATTTCGTTGGAAACGGGTTCATCTTCACAGAAAAACTAAACAGAAGCATTCTCAGAAACTACTTTGTGATGTTTGTGTTCCACTTCAAGAATTGAACTTTCCTCTTGACAGAGCAGCTCTGAAACCCTCTTTTTCTAGAATCTGCAAGTGGACATTTGGAGGGCTTTGAGGCCTGTGGTGGAAAAGGAAAATCTTCACATAAAAACTAGATGGAAGCATTCTCAGAAACTACTTTGTGATGATTGCATTCGACTCACAGAGTTGAACATTCCTATACATAGAGCAGGTTGTAAACAATCTTTTTGTAGAATCTGCGATTGGAGATTTGGACTGCTTTGAGGCCTACTGTAGTAAAGGAAATAACTTCATCTAAAAACCAAACGGAAGCATTCACAGACAATTCTTAGTGATCATTGGATTGAACTAACAGAGCTGAACATTCCTTTAGATGGAGCAGTTTCCAAACCCACTTTCTGTAGAATCTGCAAGTGGATATTTGGACTTCTCTGAGGATTTCGTTGGAAACGGGATAAACTTCCCAGAACTACAGGGAAGCATTCTGAGAAACTTCTTTGTGATGTTTGCATTCAACTCACAGAGTTGAACCTTGCTTTCATAGTTCAGCTTTCAAACACTCTTTTTGTAGAATCTGCAAGTGGATATTTGGACCACTTTGTGGCCTTCCTTCGAAACGGGTATATCTTCACATCAAACCTAGACAGAAGCATTCTCAGAATGTTTCCTGTGATGACTGCATTCAACTCACAGAGGTGAAAAATCCTGCTGATGGAGCAGTTTTGAAACTCTCTTTCTTTGGATTCTGCAAGTGGATATGTGGACCTCTGGGAAGATTTCGTTGGAAACGGGTTCATCTTCACAGAAAAAATAAACAGGAGCATTCTCAGAAACTGCTTTGTGATGTTTGTGTTCCACTTCAAGAATTGAACTTTCCTCTTGACAGAGCAGCTCTGAAACCCTCTTTTTCTAGAATCTGCAAGTGGACATTTGGAGGGCTTTGAGGCCTGTGGTGGAAAAGGAAAATCTTCCCTATAAAAACTAGATGGAAGCATTCTCAGAAACTACTTTGGGATGATTGCATTCGACTCACAGAGATGAACATTCCTATAGATAGAGCAGGTTGTAAACAATCTTTTTGTAGAATCTGCGATTGGAGATTTGGACTGCTTTGAGGCCTACTGTAGTAAAGGAAATTACTTCATCTAAAAACCAAACGGAAGCATTCACAGAAAATTCTTAGTGATCATTGGATTGAACTAACAGACCTGAACATTCCTTTAGATGGAGCAGTTTCCAAACACACTTTCTGTAGAATCTGCAAGTGGATATTTGGACTTCTCTGTGGATTTCGTTGGAAACGGGATAAACTTCCCAGAACTACACGGAAGCATTGTGAGAAACTTCTTTGTGATGTTTGCATTCAACTCACAGAGTTGAACCTTGCTTTCATAGTTCAGCTTTCAAACACTCTTTTTGTAGAATCTGCAAGTGGATATTTGGACCACTTTGTGGCCTTCCTTCGAAACGGGTATATCTTCACATCAAACCTAGACAGAAGCATTCTCAGAATGTTTCCTGTGATGACTGCATTCAACTCACAGAGGTGAACAATCCTGCTGATGGAGCAGTTTTGAAACTCTCTTTCGTTGGATTCTGCAAGTGGATATGTGGACCTCTGTGAAGATTTCGTTGGAAACATGTTCATCTTCACAGAAAAACTAAACAGGAGCATTCTCAGAAACTGCTTTGTGATGTTTGTGTTCCACTTCAGGAATTGAACTTTCCTCTTGACAGAGCAGCTCTAAAACCCTCTTATTCTAGAATCTGCAAGTGGACATTTGGAGGGCTTTGAGGCCTGTGGTGGAAAAGGAAAATCTTCACATAAAAACTAGATGGAAGCATTCTCAGAAACTACTTTGTGATGATTGCATTCGACTCACAGAGTTGAACATTCCTATAGATAGAGCAGGTTGTAAACAATCTTTTTGTAGAATCTGCGATTGGAGATTTGGACTGCTTTGAGGCCTACTGTAGTAAAGGAAATAACTTCATCTAAAAACCAAACGGAAGCATTCACAGACAATTCTTAGTGATCATTGGATTGAACTAACAGAGCTGAACATTCCTTTAGATGGCGAAGATTCCAAACACACTTTCTGTAGAATCTGCAAGTGGATATTTGGACCTCTCTGAGGATTTCGTTGGAAACGGGATAAACTTCCCAGAACTACACGGAAGCATTCTGAGAAACTTCTTTGTGATGTTTGCATTCAACTCACAGAGTTGAACCTTGCTTTCATAGTTCAGCTTTCAAACACTCTTTTTGTAGAATCTGCAAGTGGATATTTGGACCACTTTGTGGCCTTCCTTCGAAACGGGTATATCTTCACATCAAACCTAGACAGAAGCATTCTCAGAATGTTTCCTGTGATGACTGCATTCAACTCACAGAGGTGAACAATCCTGCTGATGGAGCAGTTTTGAAACTCTCTTTCTTTGGATTCTGCAAGTGGATATGTGGACCTCTGTGAAGATTTCGTTGGAAACGGGTTCATCTTCACAGAAAAACTAAACAGAAGCATTCTCAGAAACTGCTTTGTGATGTTTGTGTTCCACTTCAAGAATTGAACTTTCCTCTTGACAGAGCAGCTCTGAAACCCTCTTTTTCTAGAATCTGCAAGTGGACATTTGGAGGGCTTTGAGGCGGGTGGTGGAAAAGGAAAATCTTCACATAAAAACTAGATGGAAGCATTCTCAGAAACTACTTTGTGATGATTGCATTCGACTCACAGAGTTGAACATTCCTATAGATAGAGCAGGTTGTAAACAATCTTTTTGTAGAATCTGCGATTGGAGATTTGGACTGCTTTGAGGCCTACTGTAGTAAAGGAAATAACTTCATCTAAAAACCAAACGGAAGCATTCACAGAAAATTATTTGTGATCATTGGATTGAACTAAGAGAGCTGATCATTCCTTTAGATGGCGCAGTTTCCAAACACACTTTCTGTGGAATCTGCAAGTGGATATTTGGTCCTCTCTGAGGATTTCGTTGGAAACGGGATAAACTTCCCAGAACTACACGGAAGCATTGTGAGAAACTTCTTTGTGATGTTTGCATTCAACTCACAGAGTTGAACCTTGCTTTCATAGTTCAGCTTTCAAACACTCTTTTTGTAGAATCTGCAAGTGGATATTTGGACCACTTTGTGGCCTTCCTTCGAAACGGGTATATCTTCACATCAAACCTAGACAGAAGCATTCTCAGAATGTTTCCTGTGATGACTGCATTCAACTCACAGAGGTGAACAATCCTGCTGATGGAGCAGTTTTGAAACTCTCTTTCTTTGGATTCTGCAAGTGGATATGTGGACCTCTGTGAAGATTTCGTTGGAAACGGGTTCATCTTCACAGAAAAACTAAACAGAAGCATTCTCAGAAACTGCTTTGTGATGTTTGTGTTCCACTTCAAGAATTGAACTTTCCTCTTGACAGAGCAGCTCTGAAACCCTCTTTTTCTAGAATCTGCAAGTGGACATTTGGAGGGCTTTGAGGCCTGTGGTGGAAAAGGAAAATCTTCCCATAAAAACTAGATGGAAGCATTCTCAGAAACTACTTTGTGATGATTGCATTCGACTCACAGAGTTGAACATTCCTATAGATAGAGCAGGTTGTAAACAATCTTTTTGTAGAATCTGCGATTGGAGATTTGGACTGCTTTGAGGCCTACTGTAGTAAAGGAAATAACTTCATCTAAAAACCAAACGGAAGCATTCACATACAATTCTTAGTGATCATTGGATTGAACTAACAGAGCTGCACATTCCTTTAGATGGAGCAGTTTCCAAACACACTTTCTGTAGAATCTGCAAGTGGATATTTGGACCTCTCTGAGGATATCGTTGGAAACGGGATAAACTTCCCAGAACTACACGGAAGCATTCTGAGAAACTTCTTTGTGATGTTTGCATGCAACTCACAGAGTTGAACCTTGCTTTCATAGTTCAGCTTTCAAACACTCTTTTTGTAGAATCTGCAAGTGGATATTTGGACCACTTTGTGGCCTTCCTTCGAAACGGGTATATCTTCACATCAAACCTAGACAGAAGCATTCTCAGAATGTTTCCTGTGATGACTGCATTCAACTCACAGAGGTGAACAATCCTGCTGATGGAGCAGTTTTGAAACTCTCTTTCTTTGGATTCTGCAAGTGGATATGTGGACCTCTGTGAAGATTTCGTTGGAAACGGGTTCATCTTCACAGAAAAACTAAACAGGAGCATTCTCAGAAACTGCTTTGTTATGTTTGTGTTCCACTTCAGGAATTGAACTTTCCTCTTGACAGAGCAGCTCTGAAACCCTCTTATTCTAGAATCTGCAAGTGGACATTTGAAGGGATTTGAGGCCTGTGGTGGAAAAGGAAAATCTTCACATAAAAACTAGATGGAAGCATTCTCAGAAACTACTTTGTGATGATTGCATTCAACTCACAGAGTTGAACATTCCTATAGATAGAGCAGGTTGTAAACAATCTTTTTGTAGAATCTGCGATTGGAGATTTGGACTGCTTTGAGGCCTACTGTAGTAAAGGAAATAACTTCATCTAAAAACCAAACGGAAGCATTCACAGACAATTCTTAGTGATCATTGCATTGAACTAACAGAGCTGAACATTCCTTTAGATGGAGCAGTTTCCAAACACACTTTCTGTAGAATCTGCAAGTGGATATTTGGACTTCTCTGAGGATTTCGTTGGAAACGGGATAAACTTCCCAGAACTACACGGAAGCATTCTGAGAAACTTCTTTGTGATGTTTGCATTCAACTCACAGAGTTGAACCTTGCTTTCATAGTTCAGCTTTCAAACACTCTTTTTGTAGAATCTGCAAGTGGATATTTGGACCACTTTCTGGCCTTCCTTCGAAACGGGTATATCTTCACATCAAACCTAGACAGAAGCATTCTCAGAATGTTTCCTGTGATGACTGCATTCAACTCACAGAGGTGAACAATCCTGCTGATGGAGCAGTTTTGAAACTCTCTTTCTTTGGATTCTGCAAGTGGATATGTGGACCTCTGTGAAGATTTCGTTGGAAACGGGTTCATCTTCACAGAAAAACTAAACAGAAGCATTCTCAGCAAACTGCTTTGTGATGTTTGTGTTCCACTTCAAGAATTGAACTTTCCTCTTTACAGAGCAGCTCTGAAACCCTCTTTTTCTAGAATCTGCAAGTGGACATTTGGAGGGCTTTGAGGCCTGTGGTGGAAAAGGAAAATCTTCCCATAAAAACTAGATGGAAGCATTCTCAGAAACTACTTTGTGATGATTGCATTCGACTCACAGAGTTGAACATTCCTATAGATAGAGCAGGTTGTAAACAATCTTTTTGTAGAATCTGCGATTGGAGATTTGGACTGCTTTGAGGCCTACTGTAGTAAAGGAAATAACTTCATCTAAAAACCAAACGGAAGCATTCACAGACAATTCTTAGTGATCATTGGATTGAACTAACAGAGCTGAACATTCCTTTAGATGGCGCAGTTTCCAAACACACTTTCTGTAGAATCTGCAAGTGGATATTTGGACCTCTCTGAGGATTTCGTTGGAAACGGGATAAACTTCCCAGAACTACACGGAAGCATTGTGAGAAACTTCTTTGTGATGTTTGCATTCAACTCACAGAGTTGAACCTTGCTTTCATAGTTCAGCTTTCAAACACTCTTTTTGTAGAATCTGCAAGTGGATATTTGGACCACTTTGTGGCCTTCCTTCGAAACGGGTATATCTTCACATCAAACCTAGACAGAAGCATTCTCAGAATGTTTCCTGTGATGACTGCATTCAACTCACAGAGGTGAACAATCCTGTTGATGGAGCAGTTTTGAAACTCTCTTTCTTTGGATTCTGCAAGCGGATATGTGGACCTCAGTGAAGATTTCGTTGGAAACGGGTTCATCTTCACCGAAAAACTAAACAGGAGCATTCTCAGAAACTGCTTTGTGATGTTTGTGTTCCACTTCAAGAATTGAACTTTCCTCTTGACAGTGCAGCTCTGAAACCCTCTTTTTCTAGAATCTGCAAGTGGACATTTGGAGGGCTTTGAGGCCTGTGGTGGAAAAGGAAAATCTTCACATAAAAACTAGATGGAAGCATTCTCAGAAACTACTTTGTGATGATTGCATTGGACTCACAGAGTTGAACATTCCTATAGATAGAGCAGGTTGTAAACAATCTTTTTGTAGAATCTGCGATTGGAGATTTGGACTGCTTTGAGGCCTACTGTAGTAAAGGAAATAACTTCATCTAAAAACCAAATGGAAGCATTCACAGACAATTCTTAGTGATCATTGGATTGAACTAACAGAGCTGAACATTCCTTTAGATGGCGCAGTTTCCAAACACACTTTCTGTAGAATCTGCAAGTGGATATTTGGACCTCTCTGAGGATTTCGTTGGAAACGGGATAAACTTCCCAGAACTACACGGAAGCATTCTGAGAAACTTCTTTGTGATGTTTGCATTCAACTCACAGAGTTGAACCTTGCTTTCATAGTTCAGCTTTCAAACACTCTTTTTGTAGAATCTGCAAGTGGATATTTGGGACCACTTTGTGGCCTTCCTTCGAAACGGGTATATCTTCACATCAAACCTAGACAGAAGCATTCTCAGAATGTTTCCTGTGATGACTGCATTCAACTCACAGAGGTGAACAATCCTGCTGATGGAGCAGTTTTGAAACTCTCTTTCTTTGGATTCTGCAAGTGGATATGTGGACCTCTGTGAAGATTTCGTTGGAAACGGGTTCATCTTCACAGAAAAACTAAACAGAAGCATTCTCAGAAACTGCTTTGTGATGTTTGTGTTCCACTTCAAGAATTGAACTTTCCTCTTGGCAGAGCAGCTCTGAAACCCTCTTTTTCTAGAATCTGCAAGTGGACATTTGGAGGGCTTTGCGGCCTGTGGTGGAAAAGGAAAATCTTCACATAAAAACTAGATGGAAGCATTCTCAGAAACTACTTTGTGATGATTGCATTCGACTCACAGAGTTGAACATTCCTATACATAGAGCAGGTTGTAAACAATCTTTTTGTAGAATCTGCGATTGGAGATTTGGACTGCTTTGAGGCCTACTGTAGTAAAGGAAATAACTTCATCTAAAAACCAAACGGAAGCATTCACAGACAATTCTTAGTGATCATTGCATTGAACTAACAGAGCTGAACATTCCTTTAGATGGCGCAGTTTCCAAACACACTTTCTGTAGAATCTGCAAGTGGATATTTGGACTTCTCTGAGGATTTCGTTGGAAACGGGATAAACTTCCCAGAACTACACGGAAGCATTGTGAGAAACTTCTTTGTGATGTTTGCATTCAACTCACAGAGTTGAACCTTGCTTTCATAGTTCAGCTTTCAAACACTCCTTTTGTAGAATCTGCAAGTGGATATTTGGACCACTTTGTGGCCTTCCTTCGAAACGGGTATATCTTCACATCAAACCTAGACAGAAGCATTCTCGGAATGTTTCCTGTGATGACTGCATTCAACTCACAGAGGTGAACAATCCTGCTGATGGAGCAGTTTTGAAACTTTCTTTCTTTGGATTCTGCAAGTGGATATGTGGACCTCTGTGAAGATTTCGTTGGAAACGGGTTCATCTTCACAGAAAAACTAAACAGGAGCATTCTCAGAAACTGCTTTGTGATGTTTGTGTTCCACTTCAAGAATTGAACTTTCCTCTTGACAGAGCAGCTCTGAAACCCTCTTTTTCTAGAATCTGCAAGTGGACATTTGGAGGGCTTTGAGGCCTGTGGTGGAAAAGGAAAATCTTCACATAAAAACTAGATGGAAGCATTCTCAGAAACTACTTTGTGATGATTGCATTCGACTCACAGAGTTGAACATTCCTATAGATAGAGCAGGTTGTAAACAATCTTTTTGTAGAATCTGCGATTGGAGATTTGGACTGCTTTGAGGCCTACTGTAGTAAACGAAATAACTTCATCTAAAAACCAAACGGAAGCATTCACAGACAATTCTTAGTGATCATTGCATTGAACTAACAGAGCTGAACATTCCTTTAGATGGAGCAGTTTCCAAACACACTTTCTGTGGAATCTGCAAGTGGATATTTGGACTTCTCTGAGGATTTCGTTGGAAACGGGATAAACTTCCCAGAACTACACGGAAGCATTCTGAGAAACTTCTTTGTGATGTTTGCATTCAACTCACAGAGTTGAACCTTGCTTTCATAGTTCAGCTTTCAAACACTCTTTTTGTAGAATCTGCAAGTGGATATTTGGACCACTTTCTGGCCTTCCTTCGAAACGGGTATATCTTCACATCAAACCTAGACAGAAGCATTCTCAGAATGTTTCCTGTGATGACTGCATTCAACTCACAGAGGTGAACAATCCTGCTGATGGAGCACTTTTGAAACTCTCTTTCTTTGGATTCTGCAAGTGGATATGTGGACCTCTGTGAAGATTTCGTTGGAAACGGGTTCATCTTCACAGAAAAACTAAACAGGAGCATTCTCAGAAACTGCTTTGTGATGTTTGTGTTCCACTTCAAGAATTGAACTTTCCTCTTGACAGAGCAGCTCTGAAACCCTCTTTTTCTAGAATCTGCAAGTGGACATTTGGAGGGCTTTGAGGCCTGTGGTGGAAAAGGAAAATCTTCCCATAAAAACTAGATGGAAGCATTCTCAGAAACTACTTTGTGATGATTGCATTCGACTCACAGAGTTGAACATTCCTATAGATAGAGCAGGTTGTAAACAATCTTTTTGTAGAATCTGCGATTGGAGATTTGGACTGCTTTGAGGCCTACTGTAGTAAAGGAAATAACTTCATCTAAAAACCAAACGGAAGCATTCACAGACAATTCTTAGTGATCATTGGATTGAACTAACAGAGCTGAATATTCCTTTAGATGGAGCAGGTTCCAAACCCAATTTCTGTAGAATCTGCAAGTGGATATTTGGACTTCTCTGAGGATTTCGTTGGAAATGGGATAAACTTCCCAGAACTACACGGAAGCATTCTGAGAAACTTCTTTGTGATGTTTGCATTCAACTCACAGAGTTGAACCTTGCTTTCATAGTTCAGCTTTCAAACACTCCTTTTGTAGAATCTGCAAGTGGATATTTGGGCCACTTTGTGGCCTTCCTTTGAAACGGGTATATCTTCACATCAAACCTAGACAGAAGCATTCTCAGAATGTTTCCTGTGATGACTGCACTCAACTCACAGAGGTGAAGAATCCTGTTGATGGAGCAGTTTTGAAACTCTCTTTCTTTGGATTCTGCAAGTGGATATGTGGACCTCTGTGAAGATTTCGTTGGAAACGGGTTCATCTTCACAGAAAAACTAAACAGGAGCATTCTCAGAAACTGCTTTGTGATGTTTGTGTTCCACTTCAAGAATTGAACTTTCCTCTTCACAGAGCAGCTCTGAAACCCTCTTTTTCTAGAATCTGCAAGTGGACATTTGGAGGGCTTTGAGGCCTGTGGTGGAAAAGGAAAATTTTCACATAACAACTAGATGGAAGCATTCTCAGAAACTACTTTGTGATGATTGCCTTCGACTCACAGAGTTGAACATTCCTATAGATAGAGCAGGTTGTAAACTATCTTTTTGTAGAATCTGCGATTGGAGATTTCGACTGCTTTGAGGCCTACTGTAGTAAAGGAAATAACTTCATCTAAAAACCAAACGGAAGCATTCACAGACAATTCTTAGTGATCATTGGATTGAACTAACAGAGCTGAATATTCCTTTAGATGGAGCAGTTTCCAAACACACTTTCTGTAGAATATGCAAGTGGATATTTGGACTTCTCTGAGGATTTCGTTGGAAGCGGGATAAACTTCCCAGAACTACACGGAAGCATTCTGAGAAACTTCTTTGTGATGTTTGCATTTAACTCACAGAGTTGAACCTTGCTTTCATAGTTCAGCTTTCAAACACTCTTTTTGTAGAATCTGCAAGTGGATATTTGGACCACTTTGTGGCCTTCCTTCGAAACGGGAATATCTTCACATCAAACCTACACAGAAGCATTCCCAGAATGTTTCCTGTGATGACTGCATTCAACTCACAGAGGCGAACAATCCTGTTGATGGAGCAGTTTTGAAACTCTCTTTCTTTGGATTCTGTAAGTGGATATGTGGACCTCTGTGAAGATTTCGTTGGAAACGGGTTCATCTTCACAGAAAAACTAAACAGGAGCATTCTCAGAAACTGCTTTGTGATGTTTGTGTTCCACTTCAAGAATTGAACTTTCCTCTTGACAGAGCAGCTCTGAAACCCTCTTTTTCTAGAATCTGCAAGTGGACATTTGGAGGGCTTTGAGGCCTGTGGTGGAAAAGGAAAATCTTCACATAAAAACTAGATGGAAGCATTCTCAGAAACTACTTTGTGATGATTGCATTCGACTCACAGAGTTGAACATTCCTATAGATAGAGCAGGTTGTAAACAATCTTTTTGTAGAATCTGCGATTGGAGATTTGGACTGCTTTGAGGCCTACTGTAGTAAAGGAAATAACTTCATCTAAAAACCAAACGGAAGCATTCAAAGACAATTCTTAGTGATCATTGGATTGAACTAACAGAGCTGAACATTCCTTTAGATGGCGCAGTTTCCAAACACACTTTCTGTAGAATCTGCAAGTGGATATTTGGACCTCTCTGAGGATTTCGTTGGAAACGGGATAAACTTCCCAGAACTACACGGCAGCATTCTGAGAAACTTCTTTGTGATGTTTGCATTCAACTCACAGAGTTGAACCTTGCTTTCATAGTTCAGCTTTCAAACACTCTTTTTGTAGAATCTGCAATTGGATATTTGGACCACTTTGTGGCCTTCCTTCCAAACGGGTATATCTTCACATGAAACCTAGACAGAAGAATTCTCAGAATGTTTCCTGTGATGACTGCATTCAACTCACAGAGGTGAACAATCCGGTTGATGGAGCAGTTTTGAAACTCTCTTTCTTTGGATTCTGCAAGTGGATATGTGGACCTCTGTGAAGATTTCGTTGTAAACGGGTTCATCTTCACAGAAAAACTAAACAGAAGCATTCTCTGAAACTGCTTTGTGATGTTTGTGTTCCACTTCAAGAATTGAACTTTCCTCTTGACAGAGCAGCTCTGAAACCCTCTTTTTCTAGAATCTGCAAGTGGACATTTGGAGGGCTTTGAGGCCTGTGGTGGAAAAGGAAAATCTTCACATAAAAACTAGATGGAAGCATTCTCAGAAACTACTTTGTGATGATTGCATTCGACTCACAGAGTTGAACATTCCTATAGATAGAGTAGGTTGTAAACAATCTTTTTGTAGAATCTGCGATTGGAGATTTGGACTGCTTTGAGGCCTACTGTAGTAAAGGAAATAACTTCATCTAAAAACCAAACGGAAGCATTCACAGAAAATTCTTTGTGATGATTGGATTGAACTCAGAGAGCTGAACATTCCTTTAGATGCAGCAGTTTCCAAACACACATTCTGTAGACTCTGCAAGTGGATATTTGGACCTCTCTGAGGATTTCGTTGGAAATGGGATAAATTTCCCAGAACTACACGAAAGCATTCTCAGAAACATCTTTCTCACTTTTGCATTCAACTCACAGAGTTGAACCTTCCTTTCATAGTTCAGCTTTCAAACACTCTATTTGTAGAATCTGCAAGTGGATATTTGGACCACTTTGTGGCCTTCCTTCGAAACGGGTATATCTTCACATCAAACCTAGACAGAAGCATTCTCAGAATGTTTCCTGTGATGACTGCATTCAACGCACAGAGGTGAACAATCTTGTTGATGGAGCAGTTTTGAACCTCTCTTTCTTTGGAATCTGCAAGTGGATATGTGGACCTCTTTGACGATTTCCTTGGAAACGGGTTCATCTTCAAAGAAAAACTAAACAGAAGCATTCTCCGAAACTGCTTTGTGATGTTTGTGTTCCACTTCAGGAATTGAACTTTCCTCTTGATAGAGCAGCTCTGAAACCCTCTTTTTCTAGAATCTGCAAGTGGACATTTGGAGGGCTTTGAGGCCTGTGGTGGAAAAGGAAAATCTTCACATAAAAACTAGATGGAAGCATTCTCAGAAACTACTTTGTGATGATGGCTTTCGACTCACAGAGTTGAACATTCCTATAGATAGAGCAGGTTGTAAACAATCTTTTTGTAGAATCTGCGATTGGAGATTTGGACTGCTTTGAGGCCTACTGTAGTAAAGGAAATAACTTCATCTAAAAACCAAACGGAAGCATTCACAGACAATGCTTAGTGATCATTGGATTGAACTAACAGAGCTGAAGATTCCTTTAGATGGAGCAGTTTCCAAACCCACTTTCTGTAGAATCTGCAAGTGGATATTTGGACCTCTCTGAGGATTTCGTTGGAAACGGGATAAACTTCCCAGAACTACACGGAAGCATTGTGAGAAACTTCTTTGTGATGTTTGCATTCAACTCACAGAGTTGAACCTTGCTTTCATAGTTCAGCTTTCAAACACTCTTTTTGTAGAATCTGCAAGTGGATATTTGGACCACTTTGTGGCCTTCCTTCGAAACGGGTATATCTTCACATCAAACCTAGACAGAAGCATTCTCAGAATGTTTCCTGTGATGACTGCATTCAACTCACAGAGGTGAACAATCCTGCTGATGGAGCAGTTTTGAAACTCTCTTTCTTTGGATTCTGCAAGTGGATATGTGGACCTCTGTGAAGATTTCGTTGGAAACGGGTTCATCTTCACAGAAAAACTAAACAGGAGCATTCTCAGAAACTGCTTTGTGATGTTTGTGTTCCACTTCAGGAATTGAACTTTCCTCTTGACAGAGCAGCTCTAAAACCCTCTTATTCTAGAATCTGCAAGTGGACATTTGGAGGGCTTTGAGGCCTGTGGTGGAAAAGGAAAATCTTCACATAAAAACTAGATGGAAGCATTCTCAGAAACTCCTTTGTGATGATTGCATTCGACTCACAGAGTTGAACATTCCTATAGATAGAGCAGGTTGTAAACAATCTTTTTGTAGAATCTGCGATTGGAGATTTGGACTGCTTTGAGGCCTACTGTAGTAAAGGAAATAACTTCATCTAAAAACCAAACGGAAGCATTCACAGAAAATTGTTAGTGATCATTGCATTGAACTAACAGAGCTGAACATTCCTTTAGATGGCGCAGTTTCCAAACACACTTTCTGTAGAATCTGCAAGTGGATATTTGGACCTCTCTGAGGATTTCGTTGGAAACGGGATAAACTTCCCAGAACTACACAGAAGCATTGTGAGAAACTTCTTTGTGATGTTTGCATTCAACTCACAGAGTTGAACCTTGCTTTCATAGTTCAGCTTTCAAACACTCTTTTTGTAGAATCTGCAAGTGGATATTTGGACCACTTTGTGGCCTTCCTTCGAAACGGGTATATCTTCACATCAAACCTAGATAGAAGCATTCTCAGAATGTTTCCTGTGATGACTGCATTCAACTCACAGAGGTGAACAATCCTGCTGATGGAGCAGTTTTGAAACTCTCTTTCTTTGGATTCTGCAAGTGGATATGTGGACCTCTGTGAAGATTTCGTTGGAAACGGGTTCATCTTCACAGAAAAACTAAACAGGAGCATTCTCAGAAACTGCTTTGTGATGTTTGTGTTCCACTTCAGGAATTGAACTTTCCTCTTGACAGAGCAACTCTGAAACCCTCTTTTTCTAGAATCTGCAAGTGGACATTTGGAGGGCTTTGAGGCCTGTGGTGGAAAAGGAAAATCTTCACATAAAAACTAGATGGAAGCATTCTCAGAAACTACTTTGTGATGATTGCATTCGACTCACAGAGTTGAACATTCCTATAGATAGAGCAGGTTGTAAACAATCTTTTTGTAGAATCTGCGATTGGAGATTTGGACTGCTTTGAGGCCTACTGTAGTAAAGGAAATAACTTCATCTAAAAACCAAACGGAAGCATTCACAGACAATTCTTAGTGATCATTGGATTGAACTAACAGAGCTGAACATTCCTTTAGATGGAGCAGTTTCCAAACCCACTTTCTGTAGAATCTGCAAGTGGATATTTGGACTTCTCTGAGGATTTCGTTGGAAACGGGATAAACTTCCCAGAACTACACGGAAGCATTCTGAGAAACTTCTTTGTGATGTTTGCATTCAACTCACAGAGTTGAACCTTGCTTTCATAGTTCAGCTTTCAAACACTCTTTTTGTAGAATCTGCAAGTGGATATTTGGACCACTTTTTGGCCTTCCTTCGAAACGGGTATATCTTCACATCAAACCTAGACAGAAGCATTCTCAGAATGTTTCCTGTGATGACTGCATTCAACTCACAGAGGTGAACAATCCTGCTGATGGAGCAGTTTTGAAACTCTCTTTCTTTGGATTCTGCAAGTGGATATGTGGACCTCTGTGAAGATTTCGTTGGAAACGGGTTCATCTTCACAGAAAAACTAAACAGGAGCATTCTCAGAAACTGCTTTGTGATGTTTGTGTTCCACTTCAGGAATTGACCTTTCCTCTTGACAGAGCAGCTCTGAAACCCTCTTTTTCTAGAATCTGCAAGTGGACATTTGGAGGGCTTTGAGGCCTGTGGTGGAAAAGGAAAATCTTCACATAAAAACTAGATGGAAGCATTCTCAGAAACTACTTTGTGATGATTGCATTCGACTCACAGAGTTGAACATTCCTATAGATAGAGCAGGTTGTAAACAATCTTTTTGTAGAATCTGCGATTGGAGATTTGGACTGCTTTGAGGCCTACTGTAGTAAAGGAAATAACTTCATCTAAAAACCAAACGGAAGCATTCACAGACAATTCTTAGTGATCACTGGATTGAACTAACAGAGCTGAACATTCCTTTAGATGGAGCAGTTTCCAAACACACTTTCTGTAGAATCTGCAAGTGGATATTTGGACCTCTCTGAGGATTTCGTTGGAAACGGGCTAAACATCCCAGAACTACACGGAAGCATTGTGAGAAACTTCTTTGTGATGTTTGCATTCAACGCACAGAGTTGAACCTTGCTTTCACAGTTCAGCTTTCAAACACTCTTTTTGTAGAATCTGCAAGTGGATATTTGGACCACTTTGTGGCCTTCCTTCGAAACGGGTATATCTTCACATCAAACCTAGACAGAAGCATTCTCAGAATGTTTCCTGTGATGACTGCATTCAACTCACAGAGGTGAACAATCCTGTTGATGGGGCACTTTTGAAACTCTCTCTCTTTGGATTCTGCAAGTTGATATGTGGACCTCTGTGAAGATTTCGTTGGAAACGGGTTCATCTTCACAGAAAAACTAAACAGAAGCATTCTCAGAAACTGCTTTGTGATGTTTGTGTTCCACTTCAGGAATTGAACTTTCCTCTTGACAGAGCAGCTCTGAAACCCTCTTATTCTAGAATCTGCAAGTGGACATTTGGAGGGCTTTGAGGCCTGTGGTGGAAAAGGAAAATCTTCACATAAAAACTAGATGGAAGCATTCTCAGAAACTACTTTGTGATGATTGCATTCGACTCACAGAGTTGAACATTCCTATAGATAGAGCAGGTTGTAAACAATCTTTTCGTAGAATCTGCGATTGGAGATTTGGACTGCTTTGAGGCCTACTGTAGTAAAGGAAATAACTTCATCTAAAAACCAAACGGAAGCATTCACAGACAATTCTTAGTGATCATTGGATTGAACTAACAGAGCTGAACATTCCTTTAGATGGAGCAGTTTCCAAACACACTTTCTGTAGAATCTGCAAGTGGATATTTGGACTTCTCTGAGGATTTCGTTGGAAACGGGATAAACTTCCCAGAACTACAGGGAAGCATTCTGAGAAACTTCTTTGTGATGTTTGCATTCAACTCACAGAGTTGAACCTTGCTTTCATAGTTCAGCTTTCAAACACTCTTTTTGTAGAATCTGCAAGTGGATATTTGGACCACTTTGTGGCCTTCCTTCGAAACGGGTATATCTTCACATCAAACCTAGACAGAAGCATTCTCGGAATGTTTCCTGTGATGACTGCATTCAACTCACAGAGGTGAACAATCCTGCTGATGGAGCAGTTTTGAAACTCTCTTTCTTTGGATTCTGCAGGTGGATATGTGGACCTCTGTGAAGATTTCGTTGGAAACGGATTCATCTTCACAGAAAAACTAAACAGGAGCATTCTCAGAAACTGCTTTGTGATGTTTCTGTTCCACTTCAAGAATTGAACTTTCCTCTTGACAGAGCAGCTCTGAAACCCACTTTTTCTAGAATCTGCAAGTGGACATTTGGAGGGCTTTGAGGCCTGTGGTGGAAAAGGAAAATCTTCACATAAAAACTAGATGGAAGCATTCTCAGAAACTACTTTGTGATGATGGCATTCGACTCACAGAGTTGAACATTCCTATAGATAGAGCAGGTTGAAAACAATCTTTTTGTAGAATCTGCGATTGGAGATTTGGACTGCTTTGAGGCCTACTGTAGTAAAGGAAATAACTTCATCTAAAAACCAAACGGAAGCATTCACAGACAATGCTTACTGATCATTGGATTGAACTAACAGAGCTGAACATTCCTTTAGATGGAGCAGTTTCCAAACACACTTTCTGTAGAATCTGCAAGTGGATATTTGGACCTCTCTGAGGATTTCGTTGGAAACGGGATATACTTCCCAGAACTACACGGACGCATTCTGAGAAACTTCTTTGTGATGTTTGCATTCAAATCACAGAGTTGAACCTTGCTTTCGTAATTCAGCTTTCAAACACTCTTTTTGTAGAATCTGGAAGTTGATATTTGGACCACTTTGTGGCCTTCCTTCGAAACGGGTATATCTTCACATCAAACCCAGACAGAAGCATTCTCAGAATGTTTCCTGTGATGACTGCATTCAACTCACAGAGGTGAACAATCCTGCTGATGGAGCAGTTTTGAAACTCTCTTTCTTTGGATTCTGCAAGTGGATATGTGGACCTCTGTGAAGATTTCGTTGGAAACGGGTTCATCTTCACAGAAAAACTAAACAGGAGCATTCTCAGAAACTGCTTTGTGATGTTTGTGTTCCACTTCAGGAATTGAACTTTCCTCTTGACAGAGCAGCTCTGAAACCCTCTTATTCTAGAATCTGCAAGTGGACATTTGGAGGGCTTTGAGGCCTGTGGTGGAAAAGGAAAATCTTCACATAAAAACTAGATGGAAGCATTCTCAGAAACTCCTTTGTGATGATTGCATTCGACTCACAGAGTTGAACATTCCTATAGATAGAGCAGGTTGTAAACAATCTTTTTGTAGAATCTGCGATTGGAGATTTGGACTGCCTTGAGGCCTACTGTAGTAAAGGAAATAACTTCATCTAAAAACCAAACGGAAGCATTCACAGACAATTCTTAGTGATCATTGCATTGAACTAACAGAGCTGAACATTCCTTTAGATGGCGCAGTTTCCAAACACACTTTCTGTAGAATCTGCAAGTGCATATTTGGACCTCTCTGAGGATTTCGTTGGAAACGGGATAAACTTACCAGAACTACACGGAAGCATTCTGAGAAACTTCTTTGTGATGTTTGCATTCAACTCACAGAGTTGAACCTTGCTTTCATAGTTCAGCTTTCAAACACTCTTTTTGTAGAATCTGCAAGTGGATATTTGGACCACTTTGTGGCCTTCCTTCGAAACGGGTATATCTTCACATCAAACCTAGACAGAAGCATTCTCAGAATGTTTCCTGTGATGACTGCATTCAACTCACAGAGGTGGACAATCCTGCTGATGGAGCAGTTTTGAAACTCTCTTTCTTTGGATTCTGCAAGTGGATATGTGGACCTCTGTGAAGATTTCGTTGGAAACGGGTTCATCTTCACAGAAAAACTAAACAGAAGCATTCTCAGAAACTACTTTGTGATGTTTGTGTTCCACTTCAAGAATTGAACTTTCCTCTTGACAGAGCAGCTCTGAAACCCTCTTTTTCTAGAATCTGCAAGTGGACATTTGGAGGGCTTTGAGGCCTGTGGTGGAAAAGGAAAATCTTCACATAAAAACTAGATGGAAGCATTCTCAGAAACTACTTTGTGATGATTGCATTCGACTCACAGAGTTGAACATTCCTATAGATAGAGCAGGTTGTAAACAATCTTTTTGTAGAATCTGGGATTGGAGATTTGGACTGCTTTGAGGCCTACAGTAGTAAAGGAAATAACTTCATCTAAAAACCAAACGGAAGCATTCACAGACAATTCTTAGTGATCATTGCATTGAACTAACAGAGCTGAACATTCCTTTAGATGGCGTAGTTTCCAAACACACTTTCTGTAGAATCTGCAAGTGGATATTTGGACCTCTCTGAGGATTTCGTTAGAAAAGGGATAAACTTCCCAGAACTACACGGAAGCATTGTGAGAAACTTCTTTGTGATGTTTGCATTCAACTCACAGAGTTGAACCTTGCTTTCATAGTTCAGCTTTCAAACACTCTTTTTGTAGAATCTGCAAGTGGATATTTGGACCACTTTGTGGCCTTCCTTCGAAACGGGTATATCTTCACATCAAACCTAGACAGAAGCATTCTCAGAATGTTTCCTGTGATGACTGCATTCAACTCCCAGAGGTGAACAATCCTGCTGATGGAGCAGTTTTGAAACTCTCTTTCTTTGGATTCTGCAAGTGGATATGTGGACCTCTGTGAAGATTTCGTTGGAAACGGGTTCATCTTCACAGAAAAACTAAACAGAAGCATTCTCAGAAACTGCTTTGTGATGTTTGTGTTCCACTTCAAGAATTGAACTTTCCTCTTGACAGAGCAGCTCTGAAACCCTCTTTTTCTAGAATCTGCAAGTGGACATTTGGAGGGCTTTGAGGCCTGTGGTGGAAAAGGAAAATCTTCCCATAAAAACTAGATGGAAGCATTCTCAGAAACTACTTTGTGATGATTGCATTCGACTCACAGAGTTGAACATTCCTATACATAGAGCAGGTTGTAAACAATCTTTTTGTAGAATCTGCGATTGGAGATTTGGACTGCTTTGAGGCCTACTGTAGTAAAGGAAATAACTTCATCTAAAAACCAAACGGAAGCATTCACAGACAATTCTTAGTGATCATTGCATTGAACTAACAGAGCTGAACATTCCTTTAGATGGCGCAGTTTCCAAACACACTTTCTGTAGAATCTGCAAGTGGATATTTGGACCTCTCTGAGGATTTCGTTGGAAACGGGATAAACTTCCCAGAACTACACGGAAGCATTCTGAGAAACTTCTTTGTGATGTTTGCATTCAACTCACAGAGTTGAACCTTGCTTTCATAGTTCAGCTTTCAAACACTCTTTTTGTAGAATCTGCAAGTGGATATTTGGACCACTTTGTGGCCTTCCTTCGAAACGGGTATATCTTCACATCAAACCTAGACAGAAGCATTCTCAGAATGTTTCCTGTGATGACTGCATTCAACTCACAGAGGTGAACAATCCTGCTGATGGAGCAGTTTTGAAACTCTCTTTCTTTGGATTCTGCAAGTGGAGATGTGGACCTCTGTGAAGATTTCGTTGGAAACGGGTTCATCTTCACAGAAAAACTAAACAGGAGCATTCTCAGAAACTGCTTTGTGATGTTTGTGTTCCACTTCAAGAATTGAACTTTCCTCTTGACAGAGCAGCTCTGAAACCCTCTTTTTCTAGAATCTGCAAGTGGACATTTGGAGGGCTTTGAGGCCTGTGGTGGAAAAGGAAAATCTTCACATAAAAACTAGATGGAAGCATTCTCAGAAACTTCTTTGTGATGATTGCATTCGACTCACAGAGTTGAACATTCCTATAGATAGAGCAGGTTGTAAACAATCTTTTTGTAGAATCTGCGATTGGAGATTTGGACTGCTTTGAGGCCTACTGTAGTAAAGGAAATAACTTCATCTAAAAACCAAACGGAAGCATTCACAGACAATTCTTAGTGATCATTGCATTGAACTAACAGAGCTGAACATTCCTTTAGATGGAGCAGTTTCCAAACCCACTTTCTGTAGAATCTGCAAGTGGATATTTGGACTTCTCTGAGGATTTCGTTGGAAACGGGATAAACTTCCCAGAACTACACGGAAGCATTCTGAGAAACTTCTTTGTGATGTTTGCATTCAACTCACAGAGTTGAACCTTGCTTTCATAGTTCAGCTTTCAAACACTCTTTTTGTAGAATCTGCAAGTGGATATTTGGACCACTTTGTGGCCTTCCTTCGAAACGGGTATATCTTCACATCAAACCTAGACAGAAGCATTCTCAGAATGTTTCCTGTGATGACTGCATTCAACTCACAGAGGTGAACAATCCTGCTGATGGAGCAGTTTTGAAACTCTCTTTCTTTGGATTCTGCAAGTGGATATGTGGACCTCTGTGAAGATTTCGTTGGAAACGGGTTCATCTTCACAGAAAAACTAAACAGAAGCATTCTCAGAAACTGCTTTGTGATGTTTGTGTTCGACTTCAGGAATTGAACTTTCCTCTTGACAGAGCAGCTCTGAAACCCTCTTATTCTAGAATCTGCAAGTGGACATTTGGAGGGCTTTGAGGCCTGTGGTGGAAAAGGAAAATCTTCACATAAAAACTAGATGGAAGCATTCTCAGAAACTACTTTGTGATGATTGCATTCGACTCACAGAGTTGAACATTCCTATAGATAGAGCAGGTTGAAAACAATCTTTTTGTAGAATCTGCGATTGGAGATTTGGACTGCTTTGAGGCCTACTGTAGTAAAGGAAATAACTTCATCTAAAAACCAAACCGAAGCATTCACAGACTATTCTTGGTGATCATTGCATTGAACTAACAGAGCTGAACATTCCTTTAGATGGAGCAGTTTCCAAACACACTTTCTGTAGAAACTGCAAGTGGATATTTGGACTTCTCTGAGGATATCGTTGGAAACGGGATAAACTTCCCAGAACTACACGGAAGCATTCTGAGAAACTTCTTTGTGATGTTTGCATTCAACTCACAGAGTTGAACCTTGCTTTCATAGTTCAGCTTTCAAACACTCTTTTTGTAGAATCTGCAAGTGGATATTTGGACCACTTTGTGGCCTTCCTTCGAAACGGGTATATCTTCACATCAAACCTAGACAGAAGCATTCTCAGAATGTTTCCTGTGATGACTGCATTCAACTCACAGAGGTGAACAATCCTGCTGATGGAGCAGTTTTGAAACTCTCTTTCTTTGGATTCTGCAAGTGGATATGTGGACCTCTGTGAAGATTTCGTTGGAAACGGGTTCATCTTCACAGAAAAACTAAACAGGAGCATTCTCAGAAACTGCTTTGTGATGTTTGTGTTCCACTTCAAGAATTGAACTTTCCTCTCGACAGAGCAGCTCTGAAACCCTCTTTTTCTAGAATCTGCAAGTGGACATTTGGAGGGCTTTGAGGCCTGTGGTGGAAAAGGAAAATCTTCACATAAAAACTAGATGGAAGCATTCTCAGAAACTACTTTGTGATGATTGCATTCGACTCACAGAGTTGAACATTCCTATAGATAGAGCAGGTTGTAAACAATCTTTTTGTAGAATCTGCGATTGGAGATTTGGACTGCTTTGAGGCCTACTGTAGTAAAGGAAATAACTTCATCTAAAAACCAAACGGAAGCATTCACAGACAATTCTTAGTGATCATTGCATTGAACTAACAGAGCTGAACATTCCTTTAGATGGAGCAGTTTCCAAACACACTTTCTGTAGAATCTGCAAGTGGATATTTGGACTTCTCTGAGGATTTCGTTGGAAACGGGATAAACTTCCCAGAACTACACGGAAAGCATTCTGAGAAACTTCTTTGTTATGTTTGCATTCAACTCACAGAGTTGAACCTTGCTTTCATAGTTCAGCTTTCAAACACTCTTTTTGTAGAATCTGCAAGTGGATATTTGGACCACTTTGTTGCCTTCCTTCGAAACGGGTATATCTTCACATCAAACCTAGACAGAAGCATTCTCAGAATGTTTCCTGTGATGACTGCATTCAACTCACAGAGGTGAACAATCCTGCTGATGGAGCAGTTTTGAAACTCTCTTTCTTTGGATTCTGCAAGTGGATATGTGGACCTCTGTGTAGATTTCGTTGGAAACGGGTTCATCTTCACAGAAAAACTAAACAGGAGCATTCTCAGAAACTACTTTGTGATGTTTGTGTTCCACTTCAAGAATTGAACTTTCCTCTTGACAGAGCAGCTCTGAAACCCTCTTTTTCTAGAATCTGCAAGTGGACATTTGGAGGGCTTTGAGGCCTGTGGTGGAAAAGGAAAATCTTCACATAAAAACTAGATGGAAGCATTCTCAGAAACTACTTTGTGATGATTGCATTCGACTCACAGTGTTGAACATTCCTATAGATAGAGCAGGTTGTAAACAATCTTTTTGTAGAATCTGCGATTGGAGATTTGGACTGCTTTGAGGCCTACTGTAGTAAAGGAAATAACTTCATCTAAAAACCAAACGGAAGCATTCACAGACAATTCTTAGTGATCATTGGATTGAACTAACAGAGCTGAACATTCCTTTAGATGGAGCAGTTTCCAAACAAACTTTCTGTAGAATCTGCAAGTGGATATTCGGACTTCTCTGAGGATTTCGTTGGAAACGGGATAAACTTCCCAGAACTACACGGAAGCATTGTGAGAAACTTCTTTGTGATGTTTGCATTCAACTCACAGAGTTGAACCTTGCTTTCATAGTTCAGCTTTCAAACACTCTTTTTGTAGAATCTGCAAGTGGATATTTGGACCACTTTGTGGCCTTCCTTCGAAACGGGTATATCTTCACATCAAACCTAGACAGAAGCATTCTCAGAATGTTTCCTGTGATGACTGCATTCAACTCACAGAGGTGAACAATCCTGCTGATGGAGCAGTTTTGAAACTCTCTTTCTTTGGATTCTGCAAGTGGATATGTGGACCTCTGTGAAGATTTCGTTGGAAACGGGTTCATCTTCACAGAAAAACTAAACAGAAGCATTCTCAGAAACTGCTTTGTGATGTTTGTGTTCCACTTCAAGAATTGAACTTTCCTCTTGACAGAGCAGCTCTGAAACCCTCTTTTTCTAGAATCTGCAAGTGGACATTTGGAGGGCTTTGAGGCCTGTGGTGGAAAAGGAAAATCTTCCCATAAAAACTAGATGGAAGCATTCTCAGAAACTACTTTGTGATGATTGCATTCGACTCACAGAGTTGAACATTCCTATAGATAGAGCAGGTTGTAAACAATCTTTTTGTAGAATCTGCGATTGGAGATTTGGACTGCTTTGAGGCCTACTGTAGTAAAGGAAATAACTTCATCTAAAAACCAAACGGAAGCATTCACAGACAATTCTTAGTGATCATTGCATTGAACTAACAGAGCTGAACATTCCTTTAGATGGAGCAGTTTCCAAACACACTTTCTGTAGAATCTGCAAGTGGATATTTGGACTTGTCTGAGGATTTCGTTGGAAACGGGATATACTTCCCAGAACTACACGGAAGCATTGTGAGAAACTTCTTTGTGATGTTTGCATTCAACTCACAGAGTTTGAACCTTGCTTTCATAGTTCAGCTTTCAAACACTCTTTTTATAGAATCTGCAAGTGGATATTTGGACCACTTTGTGGCCTTCCTTCGAAACGGGTATATCTTCACATCAAACCTAGACAGAAGCATTCTCAGAATGTTTCCTGTAATGACTGCATTCAACTCACAGAGGTGAACAATCCTGCTGATGGAGCAGTTTTGAAACTCTCTTTCTTTGGATTCTGCAAGTGGATATGTGGACCTCTGTGAAGATTTCGTTGGAAACGGGTTCATCTTCACAGAAAAACTAAACAGGAGCATTCTCAGAAACTGCTTTGTGATGTTTGTGTTCCACTTCAGGAATTGAACTTTCCTCTTGACAGAGCAGCTCTGAAACCCTCTTTTTCTAGAATCTGCAAGTGGACATTTGGAGGGCTTTGAGGCCTGTGGTGGAAAAGGAAAATCTTCACATAAAAACTAGATGGAAGCATTCTCAGAAACTTCTTTGTGATGATTGCATTCGACTCACAGAGTTGAACATTCCTATAGATAGAGCAGGTTGTAAACAATCTTTTTGTAGAATCTGCGATTGGAGATTTGGACTGCTTTGAGGCCTACTGTAGTAAAGGAAATTACTTCATCTAAAAACCAAACGGAAGCATTCACAGACAATTCTTAGTGATCATTGGATTGAACTAACAGAGCTGAACATTCCTTTAGATGGAGCAGTTTCCAAACACAGTTTCTGTAGAATCTGCAAGTGGATATTTGGACCTCTCTGAGGATTTCGTTGGAAACGGGATAAACTTCCCAGAACTACACGGAAGCATTGTGAGAATCATCTTTCTGATGTTTGCATTCAACTCACAGAGTTGAACCTTGCTTTCATAGTTCAGCTTTCAAACACTCTTTTTGTAGAATCTGCAAGTGGATATTTGGACCACTTTGTGGCCTTCCTTTGAAACGGGTACATCTTCACATCAAACCTAGACAGAAGCATTCTCAGAATGTTTCCTGTGATGACTGCATTCAACTCACAGAGGTGAACAATCCTGCTGATGGAGCAGTTTTGAAACTCTCTTTCTTTGGATTCTGCAAGTGGATATGTGGACCTCTGTGAAGATTTCGTTGGAAACGGGTTCATCTTCACACAAAAACTAAACAGGAGCATTCTCAGAAACTGCTTTGTGATGTTTGTGTTCCACTTCAAGAATTGAACTTTCCTCTTGACAGAGCAGCTCTGAAACCCTCTTTTTCTAGAATCTGCAAGTGGACATTTGGAGGGCTTTGAGGCCTGTGGTGGAAAAGGAAAATCTTCACATAAAAACTAGATGGAAGCATTCTCAGAAACTACTTTGTGATGATTGCATTCGACTCACAGAGTTGAACATTCCTATAGATAGAGCAGGTTGTAAACAATCTTTTTGTAGAATCTGCGATTGGAGATTTGGACTGCTTTGAGGCCTACTGTAGTAAAGGAAATAACTTAATCTAAAAATCAAACGGAAGCATTCACAGACAATTCTTAGTGATCATTGGATTGAACTAACAGAGCTGAACATTCCTTTAGATGGAGCAGTTTCCAAACCCACTTTCTGTAGAATCTGCAAGTGGATATTTGGACTTCTCTGAGGATTTCGTTGGAAACGGGATAAACTTCCCAGAACTACACGGAAGCATTCTGAGAAACTTCTTTGTGATGTTTGCATTCAACTCACAGAGTTGAACCTTGCTTTCATAGTTCAGCTTTCAAACACTCTTTTTGTAGAATCTGCAAGTGGATATTTGGACCACTTTCTGGCCTTCCTTCGAAACGGGTATATCTTCACATCAAACCTAGACAGAAGCATTCTCAGAATGTTTCCTGTGATGACTGCATTCAACTCACAGAGGTGAACAATCCTGCTGATGGAGCAGTTTTGAAACTCTCTTTCTTTGGATTGTGCAAGTGGATATGTGGACCTGTGTGTAGATTTCGTTGGAAACGGGTTCATCTTCACAGAAAAACTAAACAGGAGCATTCTCAGAAACTGCTTTGTGATGTTTGTGTTCCACTTCAAGAATTGAACTTTCCTCTTGACAGAGCAGCTCTGCAACCCTCTTTTTCTAGAAACTGCAAGTGGACATTTGGAGGGCTTAGAGGCCTGTGGTGGAAAAGGAAAATCTTCACATAAAAACTAGATGGAAGCATTCTCAGAAACTACTTTGTGATGATTGCATTCGACTCACAGAGTTGAACATTCCTATAGAGAGAGCAGGTTGTAAACAATCTCTTTGTAGAATCTGCGATTAGAGATTTGGACTGCTTTGAGGCCTACTGTAGTAAAGGAAATAACTTCATCTAAAAACCAAACGGAAGCATTCACAGACAATTCTTAGTGATCATTGGATTGAACCAACAGAGCTGAACATTCCTTTAGATGGCGCAGTTTCCAAACACACTTTCTGTAGAATCTGCAACTGGATATTTGGACCTCTCTGAGGATGTCGTTGGAAACAGGATAAACTTCCCAGAACTACACGGAAGCATTGTGAGAAACTTCTTTGTGATGTTTGCATTCAACTCACGGAGTTGAACCTTGCTTTCATAGTTCAGCTTTCAAACACTCTTTTTGTAGAATCTGCAAGTGGATATTTGGACCACTTTGTGGCCTTCCTTCGAAACGGGTATATCTTCACATCAAACCTAGACAGAAGCATTCTCAGAATGTTTCCTGTGATGACTGCATTCAACTCACAGAGGTGAACAATCCTGCTGATGGAGCAGTTTGGAAACTCCCTTTCTTTGGATTCTGCAAGTGGATATGTGGACCTCTGTGAAGATTTCGTTGGAAACGGGATCATCTTCACAGAAAAACTAAACAGAAGCATTCTCAGAAACTGCTTTGTGATGTTTGTGTTCCACTTAAAGAATTGAACTTTCCTCTTGACAGAGCAGCTCTGAAACCCTCTTATTCTAGAATCTGCAAGTGGACATTTGGAGGGCTTTGAGGCCTGCGGTGGAAAAGGAAAATCTTCACATAAATACTAGATGGAAGCATTCTCAGAAACTACTTTGTGATGATTGCATTCGACTCACGGAGTTGAACATTCCTATAGATAGAGCAGGTTGTAAACAATCTTTTTGTAGAATCTGCGATTGGAGATTTGGACTGCTTTGAGGCCTACTGTATTAAAGGAAATAACTTCATCTAAAAACCAAACGGAAGCATTCACAGACAATTCTTAGTGATCATTGCATTGAACTAACAGAGCTGAACATTCCTTTAGATGGCGCAGTTTCCAAACACACTTTCTGTAGAATCTGCAAGTGGATATTTGGACCTCTCTGAGGATTTCGTTGGAAACGGGATAAACTTCCCAGAACTACACGGAAGCATTCTGAGAAACTTCTTTGTGATGTTTGCATTCAACTCACAGAGTTGAACCTTGCTTTCATAGTTCAGCTTTCAAACACTCTTTTTGTAGAATCTGCAAGTGGATATTTGGACCACTTTGTGGCCTTCCTTCGAAACGGGTATATCTTCACATCAAACCTAGACAGAAGCATTCTCAGAATGTTTCCTGTGATGACTGCATTCAACTCACAGAGATGAACAATCCTGTTGATGGAGCAGTTTTGAAACTCTCTTTCTTTGCATTCTGCAAGTGGATATGTGGACCTCTGTGAAGATTTCGTTGGAAACGGGTTCATCTTCACAGAAAAACTAAACAGAAGCATTCTCAGAAACTGCTTTGTGATGTTTGTGTTCCACTTCAGGAATTGAACTTTCCTCTTGACAGAGCAGCTCTGAAACCCTCTTTTTCTATAATCTGCAAGTGGACATTTGGAGGGCTTTGAGGCCTGTGGTGGAAAAGGAAAATCTTCACATAAAAACTAGATGGAAGCATTCTCAGAAACTACTTTGGGATGATTGCATTCGACTCACGGAGTTGAACATTCCTATAGATAGAGCAGGTTGTAAACAATCTTTTTGTAGAATCTGCGATTGGAGATATGGACTGCTTTGAGGCCTACTGTAGTAAAGGAAATAACTTCATCTAAAAACCAAACGGAAGCATTCACAGACAATTCTTAGTGATCATTGCATTGAACTAACAGAGCTGAACATTCCTTTAGATGGAGCAGTTTCCAAACCCACTTTCTGTAGAATCTGCAAGTGGATATTTGGACTTCTCTGAGGATTTCGTTGGAAACGGGATAAACGTCCCAGAACTACACGGAAGCATTCTGAGAAACTTCTTTGTGATGTTTGCATTCAACTCACAGAGTTGAAACTTGCTTTCATAGTTCAGCTTTCAAACACTCTTTTTGTAAAATCTGCAAGTGGATATTTGGACCACTTTGTGGCCTTCCTTCGAAACGGGTATATCTTCACATCAAACCTAGACAGAAGCATTCTCAGAATGTTTCCTGTGATGACTGCATTCAACTCACAGAGGTGAACAATCCTGCTGTTGGAGCAGTTTTGAAACTCTCTTTCTTTGGATTCTGCAAGTGGATATGTGGACCTCTGTGAAGATTTCGTTGGAAACGAGTTCATCTTCACAGAAAAACTAAACAGGAGCATTCTCAGAAACTGCTTTGTGATGTTTGTGTTCCACTTCAAGAATTGAACTTTCCTCTTGACAGAGCAGCTCTGAAACCCTCTTTTTCTAGAATCTGCAAGTGGACATTTGGAGGGCTTTGAGGCCTGTGGTGGAAAAGGAAAATCTTCACATAAAAACTAGATGGAAGCATTCTCAGAAACTACTTTGTGATGATTGCATTCGACTCACAGAGTTGAACATTCCTATAGATAGAGCAGGTTGTAAACAATCTTTTTGTAGAATCTGCGATTGGAGATTTGGACTGCTTTGAGGCCTACTGTAGTAAAGGAAATAACTTCATCTAAAAACCAAACGGAAGCATTCACAGACAATTCTTAGTGATCATTGGATTGAACTAACAGAGCTGAACATTCCTTTAGATGGAGCAGATTCCAAACACACTTTCTGTAGAATCTGCAACTGGATATTTGGACCTCTCTGAGGATTTCGTTGGAAACGGGATAAACTTTCCAGAACTACACGGAAGCATTGTGAGAAACTTCTTTGTGATGTTTGCATTCAACTCACAGAGTTGAACCTTGCTTTCATAGTTCAGCTTTCAAACACTCTTTTTGTAGAATCTGCAAGTGGATATTTGGACCACTTTGTGGCCTTCCTTCGAAACGGGTATATCTTCACATCAAACCTAGACAGAAGCATTCTCAGAATGTTTCCTGTGATGACTGCATTCAACTCACAGAGGTGAACAATCCTGCTGATGGAGCAGTTTTGAAACTCTCTTTCTTTGGATTCTGCAAGTGGATATGTGGACCTCTGTGAAGATTTCGTTGGAAACGCGTTCATCTTCACAGAAAAACTAAACAGAAGCATTCTCAGAAACTGCTTTGTGATGCTTGTGTTCCACTTCAAGAATTGAACTTTCCTCTTGACAGAGCAGCTCTGAAACCCTCTTTTTCTAGAATCTGCAAGTGGACATTTGGAGGGCTTTGAGGCCTGTGGTGGAAAAGGAAAATCTTCACATAAAAACTAGATGGAAGCATTCTCAGAAACTACTTTGTGATGATTGCATTCGACTCACAGAGTTGAACATTCCTATAGATAGAGCAGGTTGTAAACAATGTTTTTGTAGAATCTGCGATTGGAGATTTGGATTGCTTTGAGGCCTACTGTAGTAAAGGAAATAACTTCATCTAAAAACCAAATGGAAGCATTCACAGACAATTCTTAGTGATCATTGGATTGAACTAACAAAGCTGAACATTCCTTTAGATGGAGCAGTTGCCAAACCCACTTTCTGTAGAATCTGCAAGTGGATATTTGGACTTCTCTGAGGATTTCGTTGGAAACGGGATAAACTTCCCAGAACTACACGGAAGCATTTTGAGAAACTTCTTTGTGATGTTTGCATTCAACTCACAGAGTTGAACCTTGCTTTCATAGTTCAGCTTTCAAACACTCTTTTTGTAGAATCTGCAAGTGGATATTTGGACCACTTTGTGGCCTTCCTTTGAAAAGGGTATATCTTCACATCAAACCTAGACAGAAGCATTCTCAGAATGTTTCCTGTGATGACTGCATTCAACTCACAGAGGTGAACAATCCTTCTGATGGAGCAGTTTTGAAACTCTCTTTCTTTGGATTCTGCAAGTGGATATGTGGACCTCTGTGAAGATTTCGTTGGAAACGGGTTCATCTTCACAGAAAAACTAAACAGGAGCATTCTCAGAAACTGCTTTGTGATGTTTGTGTTCCACTTCAAGAATTGAACTTTCCTCTTGACAGAGCAGCTCTGAAACCCTCTTATTCTAGAATATGCAAGTGGACATTTGGAGGGCTTTGAGGCCTGTGGTGGAAAAGGAAAATCTTCACATAAAAACTAGATGGAAGCATTCTCAGAAACTACTTTGTGATGATTGCATTCGACTCACAGAGTTGAACATTCCTATAGATAGAGCAGGTTGTAAACAATCTTTTTGTAGAATCTGCGATTGGAGATTTGGACTGCTTTGAGGCCTACTGTAGTAAAGGAAATAACTTCATCTAAAAACCAAACGGAAGCATTCACAGACAATTCTTAGTGATCATTGGATTGAACTAACAGAGCTGAACATTCCTTTAGATGGAGCAGTTTCCAAACACACTTTCTGTAGAATCTGCCACTGGATATTTGGAGCTCTCTGAGGATTTCGTTGGAAACGGGATAAACTTCCCAGAACTACACGGAAAAGCATTCTGAGAAACTTCTTTGTGATGTTTGCATTCAACTCACAGAGTTGAACCTTGCTTTCATAGTTCAGCTTTCAAACACTCTTTTTGTAGAATCTGCAAGTGGATATTTGGACCACTTTGTGGCCTTCCTTCGAAACGGGTATATCTTCACATCAAACCTAGACAGAAGCATTCTCAGAATGTTTCCTGTGATGACTGCATTCAACTCACAGAGGTGAACAATCCTGTTGATGGAGCAGTTTTGAAACTCTCTTTCTTTGGATTCTGCAAGTTGATATGTGGACCTATGTGAAGATTTCGTTGGAAACGGGTTCATCTTCACAGAAAAACTAAACAGAAGCATTCTCAGAAACTGCTTTGTGATGTTTGTGTTCCACTTCAAGAATTGAACTTTCCTCTTGACAGAGCAGCTCTGAAACCCTCTTTTTCTAGAATCTGCAAGTGGACATTTGGAGGGCTTTGAGGCCTGTGGTGGAAAAGGAAAATCTTCACATAAAAACTAGATGGAAGCATTCTCAGAAACTACTTTGTGATGATTGCATTCGACTCACAGAGTTGAACATTCCTATAGATAGAGCAGGTTGTAAACAATCTTTTTGTAGAATCTGCGATTGGAGATTTGGACTGCTTTGAGGCCTACTGTAGTAAAGGAAATAACTTCATCTAAAAACCAAACGGAAGCATTCACAGACAATTCTTAGTGATCATTGCATTGAACTAACAGAGCTGAACATTCCTTTAGATGGAGCATTTTCCAAACACACTTTCTGTAGAATCTGCAAGTGGATATTTGGACTTCTCTGAGGATTTCGTTGGAAACGGGATAAACTTCCCAGAACTACACGGAAGCATTGTGAGAAACTTCTTTGTGATGTTTTCATTCAACTCACAGAGTTGAACCTTGCTTTCATAGTTCAGCTTTCAAACACTCTTTTTGTAGAATCTGCAAGTGGATATTTGGACTACTTTGTGGCCTTCCTTCGAAACGGGTATATCTTCACATCAAACCTAGACAGAAGCATTCTCAGAATGTTTCCTGTGATGACTGCATTCAACTCACAGAGGTGAACAATCCTGCTGATGGAGCAGTTTTGAAACTCTCTTTCTTTGGATTCTGCAAGTGGATATGTGGACCTCTGTGAAGATTTCGTTGGAAACGGGTTCATCTTCACAGAAAAACTAAACAGAAGCATTCTCAGAAACTGCTTTGTGATGTTTGTGTTCCACTTCAGGAACTGAACTTTCCTCTTAACAGAGCAGCTCTGAAACCCTCTTATTCTAGAATCTGCAAGTGGACATTTGGAGGGCTTTGAGGCCTGTGGTGGAAAAGGAAAATCTTCACATAAAAACTAGATGGAAGCATTCTCAGAAACTACTTTGTGATGATTGCATTCGACTCACAGAGTTGAACATTCCTATAGATAAAGCAGGTTGTAAACAATCTTTTTGTAGAATCTGCGATTGGAGATTTGGACTGCTTTGAAGCCTACTGTAGTAAAGGAAATAACTTCATCTAAAAACCAAACGGAAGCATTCACAGACAATTCTTAGTGATCATTGCATTGAACTAACAGAGCTGAACATTCGTTTAGATGGCGCAGTTTCCAAACACACTTTCTGTAGAATCTGCAAGTGGATATTTGGACCTCTCTGAGGATTTCGTTGGAAACGGGATAAACTTCCCAGAACTACACGGAAGCATGCTGAGAAACTTCTTTGTGATGTTTGCATTCAACTCACAGAGTTGAACCTTGCTTTCATAGTTCAGCTTTCAAACACTCTTTTTGTAGAATCTGCAAGTGGATATTTGGACCACTTTGTGGCCTTCCTTCGAAACGGGTATATCTTCACTTCAAACCTAGACAGAAGCATTCTCAGAATGTTTCCTGTGATGACTGCATTCAACTCACAGAGGTGAACAATCCTGCTGATGGAGCAGTTTTGAAACTCTCTTTCTTTGGATTCTGCAAGTGGATATGTGGACCTCTGTGAAGATTTCGTTGGAAACGGGTTCATCTTCACAGAAAAACTAAACAGAAGCATTCTCAGAAACTGCTTTGTGATGTTTGTGTTCCACATCAAGAATTGAACTTTCCTCTTGACAGAGCAGCTCTGAAACCCTCTTTTTCTAGAATCTGCAAGTGGACATTTGGAGGGCTTTGAGGCCTGTGGTGCAAAAGGAAAATCTTCACATAAAAACTAGATGGAAGCATTCTCAGAAACTACTTTGTGATGATTGCATTCGACTCACAGAGTTGAACATTCCTATAGATAGAGCAGGTTGTAAACAATGTTTTTGTAGAATCTGCGATTGGAGATTTGGACTGCTTTGAGGCCTACTGTAGTAAAGGAAATAACTTCATCTAAAAACCAAACGGAAGCATTCACAGACAATTCTTAGTGATCACTGGATTGAACTAACAGAGCTGAACATTCCTTTAGATGGAGCAGTTTCCAAACACACTTTCTGTAGAATCTGCAAGTGGATATTTGGACTTCTCTGAGGATTTCGTTGGAAACGGGATAAACTTCCCAGAACTACACGGAAGCATTCTGAGAAACTTCTTTGTGATGTTTGCATTCAACTCACAGAGTTGAACCTTGCTTTCATAGTTCAGCTTTCAAACACTCTTTTTGTAGAATCTGCAAGTGGATATTTGGACCACTTTGTGGCCTTCCTTCGAAACGGGTATATCTTCACATCAAACCTAGACAGAAGCATTCTCAGAATGTTTCCTGTGATGACTGCATTCAACTCACAGAGGTGAACAATCCTGCTGATGGAGCAGTTTTGAAACTCTCTTTCTTTGGATTCTGCAAGTGGATATGTGGACCTCTGTGAAGATTTCGTTGGAAACGGGTTCATCTTCACAGAAAAACTAAACAGAAGCATTCTCAGAAACTGCTTTGTGATGTTTGTGTTCCACTTCAAGAATTGAACTTTTCTCTTGACAGAGCAGCTCTGAAACCCTCTTTTTCTAGAATCTGCAAGTGGACATTTTGAGGGCTTTCAGGCCTGTGGTGGAAAAGGAAAATCTTCACATAAAAACTAGATGGAAGCATTCTCAGAAACTACTTTGTGATGATTGCATTCGACTCACAGAGTTGAACATTCCTATAGATAGAGCAGGTTGTAAACAATCTTTTTGTAGAATCTGCGATTGGAGATTTGGACTGCTTTGAGGCCTACTGTAGTAAAGGAAATAACTTCATCTAAAAACCAAACGGAAGCATTCACAGACAATTCTTAGTGATCATTGCATTGAACTAACAGAGCTGAACATTGCTTTAGACGGCGCAGTTTCCAAACACACTTTCTGTAGAATCTGGAAGTGGATATTTGGACTTCTCTGAGGATTTCGTTGGAAACGGGATAAACTTCCCAGAACTACACGGAAGCATTGTGAGAAACTTCTCTGTGATGTTAGCATTCAACTCACAGAGTTGAACCTTGCTTTCATAGTTCAGCTTTCAAACACTCTTTTTGTGGAATCTGCAAGTGGATATTTGGACCACTTTGTGGCCTTCCTTCGAAACGGGTATATCTTCACATCAAACCTAGACAGAAGCATTCTCAGAATGTTTCCTGTGATGACTGCATTCAACTCACAGTAGGTGAACAATCCTGTTGATGGAGCACTTTTGAAACTCTCTTTCTTTGGATTCTGCAAGTTGATATGTGGACCTCTGTGAAGATTTCGTTGGAAACGGGTTCATCTTCACAGAAAAACTAAACAGAAGCATTCTCAGAAACTACTTTGTGATGTTTGTGTTCCACTTCAAGAATTGAACTTTCCTCTTGACAGAGCAGCTCTGAAACCCTCTTTTTCTAGAATCTGCAAGTGGACATTTGGAGGGCTTTGAGGCCTGTGGTGGAAAAGGAAAATCTTCACATAAAAACTAGATGGAAGCATTCTCAGAAACTACTTTGTGATGATTGCATTCGACTCACAGAGTTGAACATTCCTATAGATAGAGCAGGTTGTAAACAATCTTTTTGTAGAATCTGCGATTGGAGATTTGGACTGCTTTGAGGCCTACTGTAGTAAAGGAAATAACTTCATCTAAAAACCAAACGGAAGCATTCACAGACAATTCTTAGTGATCATTGGATTGAACTAACAGAGCTGAACATTCCTTTAGATGGAGCAGTTTCCAAACACACTTTCTGTAGAATCTGCAAGTGGATATTTGGACCTCTCTGAGGATTTCGTTGGAAACGGGATAAACTTCCCAGAACTACACGGAAGCATTCTGAGAAACTTCTTTGTGATGTTTGCATTCAACTCACAGAGTTGAACCTTGCTTTCATAGTTCAGCTTTCAAACACTCTTTTTGTAGAATCTACAGAAAGTGGATATTTGGACCACTTTGTGGCCTTCCTTCGAAACGGGTATATCTTCACATCAAACCTAGACAGAAGCATTCTCAGAATGTTTCCTGTGATGTCTGCATTCAACTCACAGAGGTGAACAATCCTGCTGATGGAGCAGTTTTGAAACTCTCTTTCTTTGGATTCTGCAAGTGGATATGTGGACCTCTGTGAAGATTTCGTTGGAAACGGGTTCATCTTCACAGAAAAACTAAACAGGAGCATTCTCAGAAACTGCTTTGTGATGTTTGTGTTCCACTTCAAGAATTGAACTTTCCTCTTGACAGAGCAGCTCTGAAACCCTCTTTTTCTAGAATCTGCAAGTGGACATTTGGAGGGCTTTGAGGCCTGTGGTGGAAAAGGAAAATCTTCACATAAAAACTAGATGGAAGCATTCTCAGAAACTACTTTGTGATGATTGCATTCGACTCACAGAGTTGAACATTCCTATAGATAGAGCAGGTTGTAAACAATCTTTTTGTAGAATCTGCGATTGGAGATTTGGACTGCTTTGAGGCCTACTGTAGTAAAGGAAATAACTTCATCTAAAAACCAAACGGAAGCATTCACAGACAATTCTTAGTGATCATTGGATTGAACTAACAGAGCTGAACATTCCTTTAGATGGCGCAGTTTCCAAACACACTTTCTGTAGAATCTGCAAGTGGATATTTGGACTTCTCTGAGGATTTCGTTGGAAACGGGATAAACTTCCCAGAACTACACGGAAGCATTCTGAGAAACTTCTTTGTGATGTTTGCATTCAACTCACAGAGTTGAACCTTGCTTTCATAGTTCAGCTTTCAAACACTCTTTTTGTAGAATCTGCAAGTGGATATTTGGACCACTTTGTGGCCTTCCTTCGAAACGGGTATATCTTCACATCAAACCTAGACAGAAGCATTCTCAGAATGTTTCCTGTGATGACTGCATTCAACTCACAGAGGTGAACAATCCTGTTGATGGAGCACTTTTGAAACTCTCTTTCTTTGGATTCTGCAAGTTGATATGTGGACCTCTGTGAAGATTTCGTTGGAAACGGGTTCATCTTCACAGAAAAACTAAACAGAAGCATTCTCAGAAACTGCTTTGTGATGTTTGTGTTCCACTTCAGGAATTGAACTTTCCTCTTGACAGAGCAGCTCTGAAACCCTCTTATTCTAGAATCTGCAAGTGGACATTTGGAGGGCTTTGAGGCCTGTGGTGGAAAAGGAAAATCTTCACATAAAAACTAGATGGAAGCATTCTCAGAAACTACTTTGTGATGATTGCATTCGACTCACAGAGTTGAACATTCCTATAGACAGAGCAGGTTGTAAACAATCTTTTTGTAGAATCTGCGATTGGAGATTTGGACTGCTTTGAGGCCTACTGTAGTAAAGGAAATAACTTCATCTAAAAACGAAACGGAAGCATTCACAGACAATACTTAGTGATCATTGCATTGAACTAACAGAGCTGAACATTCCTTTAGATGGCGCAGTTTCCAAACACACTTTCTGTAGAATCTGCAAGTGGATATTTGGACCTCTCTGAGGATTTCGTTGGAAACGGGATAAACTTCCCAGAACTACACGGAAGCATTCTGAGAAACTTCTTTGTGATGTTTGCGTTCAACTCACAGAGTTGAACCTTGCTTTCATAGTTCAGCTTTCAAACACTCTTTTTGTAGAATCTGCAAGTGGATATTTGGACCACTTTGTGGCCTTCCTTCGAAACGGGTATATCTTCACATCAAACCTAGACGGAGCATTCTCAGAATGTTTCCTGTGATGACTGCATTCAACTCACAGAGGTGAACAATCCTGCTGATGGAGCAGTTTTGAAACTCTCTTTCTTTGGATTGTGCAAGTGGATATGTGGACCTCTGTGAAGATTTCGTTGGAAACGGGTTCATCTTCACAGAAAAACTAAACAGAAGCATTCTCAGAAACTGCTTTGTGATGTTTGTGTTCCACTTCAGGAATTGAACTTTCCTCTTGACAGAGCAGCTCTGAAATCCTCTTATTCTAGAATCTGCAAGTGGACATTTGGAGGGCTTTGAGGCCTGTGGTGGAAAAGGAAAATCTTCACATAAAAACTAGATGGAAGCATTCTCAGAAACTACTTTGTGATGATTGCATTCGACTCACAGAGTTGAACATTCCTATAGATAGAGCAGGTTGTAAACAATCTTTTTGTAGAATCTGCGATTGGAGATTTGGACTGCTTTGAGGCCTACTGTAGTAAAGGAAATAACTTCATCTAAAAACCAAATGGAAGCATTCACAGACAATTCTTAGTGATCATTGGATTGAACTAACAGAGCTGAACATTCCTTTAGATGGAGCAGTTTCCAAACCCACTTTCTGTAGAATCTGCAAGTGGATATTTGGACTTCTCTGAGGATTTCGTTGGAAACGGGATAAACTTCCCAGAACTACACAGAGCATTGTGAGAAACTTCTTTGTGATGTTTGCATTCAACTCACAGAGTTGAACCTTGCTTTCATAGTTCAGCTTTCAAACACTCTTTTTGTAGAATCTGCAAGTGGATATTTGGACCACTTTGTGGCCTTCCTTCGAAACGGGTATATCTTCACATCAAACCTAGACAGAAGCATTCTCAGAATGTTTCCTGTGATGACTGCATTCAACTCACAGAGGTGAACAATCCTGCTGATGGAGCAGTTTTGAAACTCTCTTTCTTTGGATTCTGCAAGTGGATATGTGGACCTCTGTGAAGATTTCGTTGGAAACGGGTTCATCTTCACAGAAAAACTAAACAGAAGCATTCTCAGAAACTGTTTTGTGATGTTTGTGTTCCACTTCAAGAATTGAACTTTCCTCTTGACAGAGCAGCTCTGAAACCCTCTTTTTCTAGAATCTGCAAGTGGACATTTGGAGGGCTTTGAGGCCTGTGGTGGAAAAGGAAAATCTTCACATAAAAACTAGATGGAAGCATTCTCAGAAACTACTTTGTGATGATTGCATTCGACTCACAGAGTTGAACATTACTATAGATAGAGCAGGTTGTAAACAATGTTTTTGTACAATCTGCGATTGGAAATTTGGACTGCTTTGAGGCCTACTGTAGTAAAGGAAATAACTTCATCTAAAAACCAAACGGAAGCATTCACAGACAATTCTTAGTGATCACTGGATTGAACTAACAGAGCTGAACATTCCTTTAGATGGAGCAGTTTCCAAACACACTTTCTGTAGAATCTGCAAGTGGATATTTGGACTTCTCTGAGGATTTCGTTGGAAACGGGATAAACTTCCCAGAACTACACGGAAGCATTCTGAGAAACTTCTTTGTGATGTTTGCATTCAACTCACAGAGTTGAACCTTGCTTTCATAGTTCAGCTTTCAAACACTCTTTTTGTAGAATCTGCAAGTGGATATTTGGACCACTTTGTGGCCTTCCTTCGAAACGGGTATATCTTCACATCAAACCTAGACAGAAGCATTCTCAGAATGTTTCCTGTGATGACTGCATTCAACTCACAGAGGTGAACAATCCTGTTGATGGAGCAGTTTTGAATCTCTCTTTCTTTGGATTCTGCAAGTGGATATGTGGACCTCTGTGAAGATTTCGTTGGAAACGGGTTCATATTCACAGAAAAACTAAACAGGAGCATTCTCAGAAACTGCTTTGTGATGTTTGTGTTCCACTTCAAGAATTGAACTTTCCTCTTGACAGAGCAGCTCTGAAACCCTCTTTTTCTAGAATCTGCAAGTGGACATTTGGAGGGCTTTGAGGCCTGTGGTGGAAAAGGAAAATCTTCACATAAAAACTAGATGGAAGCATTCTCAGAAACTACTTTGTGATGATTGCATTCGACTCACAGAGTTGAACATTCCTATAGATAGAGCAGGTTGTAAACAATCTTTTTGTAGAATCTGCGATTGGAGATTTGGACTGCTTTGAGGCCTACTGTAGTAAAGGAAATAACTTCATCTAAAAACCAAACGGAAGCATTCACAGACAATTCTTAGTGATCATTGGATTGAACTAACAGAGCTGAACATTCCCTTAGATGGAGCAGTTTCCAAACACACTTTCTGTAGAATCTGCAAGTGGATATTTGGACCTCTCTGAGGATTTCGTTGGAAAAGGGATAAACTTCCCAGAACTACATGGAAGCATTCTGAGAAACTTCTTTGTGATGTTTGCATTCAACTCACAGAGTTGAACCTTGCTTTCATAGTTCAGCTTTCAAACACTCTTTTTGTAGAATCTGCAAGTGGATATTTGGACCACTTTGTGGCCTTCCTTCGAAACGGGTATATCTTCACATCAAACCTAGACAGAAGCATTCTCAGAATGTTGCCTGTGATGACTGCATTCAACTCACAGAGGTGAACAATCCTGCTGATGGAGGAGTTTTGAAACTCTCTTTCTTTGGATTCTACAAGTGGATATGTGGACCTCTGTGAAGATTTCGTTGGAAACGGGTTCATCTTCACAGAAAAACTAAACAGAAGCATTCTCAGAAACTGCTTTGTGATGTTTGTGTTCCACTTCAGGAATTGAACTTTCCTCTTGACAGAGCAGCTCTGAAACCCTCTTATTCTAGAATCTGCAAGTGGACATTTGGAGGGCTTTGAGGCCTGTGGTGGAAAAGGAAAATCTTCACATAAAAACTAGATGGAAGCATTCTCAGAAACTACTTTGTGATGATTGCATTCGACTCACAGAGTTGAACATTCCTATAGATAGAGCAGGTTGTAAACAATCTTTTTGTAGAATCTGCGATTGGAGATTTGGACTGCTTTGAGGCCTACTGTAGTAAAGGAAATAACTTCATCTAAAAACCAAACGGAAGCATTCACAGACAATTCTTAGTGATCATTGGATTGAACTAACAGAGCTGAACATTCCTTTAGATGGAGCAGTTGCCAAACCCACTTTCTGTAGAATCTGCAAGTGGATATTTGGACTTCTCTGAGGATTTCGTTGGAAACGGGATAAACTTCCCAGAACTACACGGAAGCATGCTGAGAAACTTCTTTGTGATGTTTGCATTCAACTCACAGAGTTGACCTTGCTTTCATAGTTCAGCTTTCAAACACTCTTTTTGTGGAATCTGCAAGTGGATATTTGGACCACTTTGTGGCCTTCCTTCGAAACGGGTATATCTTCACATCAAACCTAGACAGAAGCATTCTCAGAATGCTTCCTGTGATGACTGCATTCAACTCACAGAGGTGAACAATCCTGCTGATGGAGCAGTTTTGAAACTCTCTTTCTTTGGATTCTGCAAGTGGATATGTGGACCTCTGTGAAGATTTCGTTGGAAACGGGTTCATCTTCACAGAAAAACTAAACAGGAGCATTCTCAGAAACTGCTTTGTGATGTTTGTGTTCCACTTCAAGAATTGAACTTTCCTCTTGACAGAGCAGCTCTGAAACCCTCTTTTTCTAGAATCTGCAAGTGGACATTTGGAGGGCTTTGAGGCCTGTGGTGGAAAAGGAAAATCTTCACATAAAAACTAGATGGAAGCATTCTCAGAAACTACTTTGTGATGATTGCATTCGACTCACAGAGTTGAACATTCCTATAGATAGAGCAGGTTGTAAACAATCTTTTTGTAGAATCTGCGATTGGAGATTTGGACTGCTTTGAGGCCTACTGTAGTAAAGGAAATAACTTCATCTAAAAACCAAACGAAAGCATTCACAGACAATTCTTAGTGATCATTGGATTTAACTAACAGAGCTGAACATTCCTTTAGATGGCACAGTTTCCAAACACACTTTCTGTAGAATCTGCAAGTGGATATTTGGACCTCTCTGAGGATTTCGTTGGAAACAGGATAAACTTCCCAGAACTACACGGAAGCATTGTGAGAAACTTCTTTGTGATGTTTGCATTCAACTCACAGAGTTGAACCTTGCTTTCATAGTTCAGCTTTCAAACACTCTTTTTGTAGAATCTGCAAGTGAATATTTGGACCACTTTGTGGCCTTCCTTCGAAACGGGTATATCTTCACATCAAACCTAGACAGAAGCATTCTCAGAATGTTTCCTGTGATGACTGCATTCAACTCACAGAGGTGAACAATCCTGCTGATGGAGCAGTTTTGAAACTCTCTTTCTTTGGATTCTGCAAGTGGATATGTGGACCTCTGTGAAGATTTCGTTGGAAACGGGTTCATCTTCACAGAAAAACTAAACAGAAGCATTCTCAGAAACTGCTTTGTGATGTTTGTGTTCCACTTCAAGAATTGAACTTTCCTCTTGACAGAGCAGCTCTGAAACCCTCTTTTTCTAGAATCTGCAAGTGGACATTTGGAGGGCTTTGAGGCCTGTGGTGGAAAAGGAAAATCTTCCCATAAAAACTAGATGGAAGCATTCTCAGAAACTACTTTGTGATGATTGCATTCGACTCACAGAGTTGAACATTCCTATAGATAGAGCAGGTTGTAAACAATCTTTTTGTAGAATCTGCGATTGGAGATTTGGACTGCTTTGAGGCCTACTGTAGTAAAGGAAATAACTTCATCTAAAAACCAAACGGAAGCATTCACAGACAATTCTTAGTGATCATTGGATTGAACTAACAGAGCTGAACACTCCTTTAGATGGCGCTGTTTCCAAACACACTTTCTGTAGAATCTGCAAGTGGATATTTGGACTTCTCTGAGGATTTCGTTGGAAACGGGATAAACTTCCCAGAACTACACGGAAGCATTCTGAGAAACTTCTTTGTGATGTTTGCATTCAACTCACAGAGTTGAACCTTGCTTTCATAGTTCAGCTTTCAAACACTCTTTTTGTAGGATCTGCAAGTGGATATTTGGACCACTTGGTGGTGGCCTTCCTTCGAAACGGGTATATCTTCACATCAAACCTAGACAGAAGCATTCTCAGAATGTTTCCTGTGATGACTGCATTCAACTCACAGAGGTGAACAATCCTGCTGATGGAGCAGTTTTGAAACTCTCTTTCTTTGGATTCTGCAAGTGGATATGTGGACCTCTGTGAAGATTTCGTTGGAAACGGGTTCATCTTCACAGAAAAACTAAACAGAAGCATTCTCAGAAACTGCTTTGTGATGTTTGTGTTCCACTTCAAGAATTGAACTTTCCTCTTGACAGAGCAGCTCTGAAACCCTCTTTTTCTAGAATCTGAAAGTGGACATTTGGAGGGATTTGAGGCCTGTGGTGGAAAAGGAAAATCTTCACATAAAAACTAGATGGAAGCATTCTCAGAAACTACTTTGTGATGATTGCATTCGACTCACATAGTTGAACATTCCTATAGATAGAGCAGGTTGTAAACAATCTTTTTGTAGAATCTGCGATTGGAGATTTGGACTGCTTTGAGGCCTACTGTAGTAAAGGAAATAACTTCATCTAAAAACCAAACGGAAGCATTCACAGAAAATTCTTAGTGATCATTGGATTGAACTAACAGAGCTGAACATTCCCTTAGATGGCGCAGTTTCCAAACACGTTTTCTGTAGAATCTGCAAGTGGATATTTGGACCTCTCTGAGGATTTCGTTGGAAACGGGATAAACTTCCCAGAACTACACGGAAAGCATTCTGAGAAACATCTTTGTGATGTTTGCATTCAACTCACAGAGTTGAACCTTGCTTTCATAGTTCAGCTTTCAAACACTCTTTTCGTAGAATCTGCAAGTGGATATTTGGACCACTTTGTGGCCTTCCTTCGAAACGGGTATATCTTCACATCAAACCTAGACAGAAGCATTCTCAGAATGTTTCCTGTGATGACTGCATTCAACTCACAGAGGTGAACAATCCTGTTGATGGAACAGTTTTGAAACTCTCTTTCTTTGGATTCTGCAAGTGGATATGTGGACCTCTGTGAAGATTTCGTTGGAAACGGGTTCATCTTCACAGAAAAACTAAACAGAAGCATTCTCAGAAACTACTTTGTGATGTTTGTGTTCAACTTCCAGAGTTGAACTTTCCTCTTGAAAGAGCAGCTATGAAACACTCTTTTTCAAGAATGTGCAAGTGGACATTTGGAGGGCTTTGAGGCCTGCGGTGGAAAAGGAAATATCTTCACATAAAAACTAGATAGAAGCATTCTCAGAAACTACTTTGTGATGATTGCATTCGACTCACAGAGTTGAACATTCCTATAGATAGAGCAGGTTGTAAACAATCTTTTTGTAGAATCTGCGATTGGAGATTTGGACTGCTTTGAGGCCTACTGTAGTAAAGGAAATAACTTCATGTAAAAACCAAACGGAAGCATTCACAGACAATTCTTAGTGATCATTGGATTGAACTAACAGAGCTGAACATTCCTTTAGATGGAGCAGTTTCCAAACACACTTTCTGTAGAATCTGCAAGTGGATATTTGGACCTCTCTGAGGATTTCGTTGGAAACGGGATAAACTTCCCAGAACTACACGGAAGCATGCTGAGAAACTTCTTTGTGATGTTTGCATTCAACTCACAGAGTTGAACCTTGCTTTCATAGTTCAGCTTTCAAACACTCTTTTTGTAGAATCTGCAAGTGGATATTTGGACCACTTTGTGGCCTTCCTTCGAAACGGGTATATCTTCACATCAAACCTAGACAGAAGCATTCTCAGAATGTTTCCTGTGATGACTGCATTCAACTCACAGATGTGAACAATCCTGCTCATGGAGCAGTTTTGAAACTCTCTTTCTTTGGATTCTGCAAGTGGATATGTGGACCTCTGTGTAGATTTCGTTGGAAACGGGTTCATCTTCACAGAAAAACTAAACAGAAGCATTCTCAGAAACTGCTTTGTGATGTTTGTGTTCCACTTCAGGAATTGAACTTTCATCTTGACAGAGCAGCTCTGAAACCCTCTTATTCTAGAATCTGCAAGTGGACATTTGGAGGGCTTTGAGGCCTGTGGTGGAAAAGGAAAATCTTCACATTAAAACTAGATGGAAGCATTCTCAGAAACTACTTTGTGATGATTGCATTCGACTCACAGAGTTGAACATTCCTATAGATAGAGCAGGTTGTAAACAATCTTTTTGTAGGATCTGCGATTGGAGATTTGGACTGCTTTGAGGCCTACTGTAGTAAAGGAAATAACTTCATCTAAAAACCAAACGGAAGCATTCACAGACAATTCTTAGTGATCATTGGATTGAACTAACAGAGCTGAACATTCCTTTAGACGGAGCAGTTTCCAAACACACTTTCTGTAGAATCTGCAAGTGGATATTTGGACCTCTCTGAGGATTTCGTTGGAAACGGGATAAACTTCCCAGAACTACACGGAAGTATTCTGAGAAACTTCTTTGTGATTTTTGCATTCAACTCACAGAGTTGAACCTTGCTTTCATAGTTCAGCTTTCAAACACTCTTTTTGTAGAATCTGCAAGTGGATATTTGGACCACTTTGTGGCCTTCCTTCGAAACGGGTATATCTTCACATCAAACCTAGACAGAAGGATTCTCAGAATGTTTCCTGTGATGACTGCATTCAACGCACAGAGGTGAACAATCCTGCTGATGGAGCAGTTTTGAAACTCTCTTTCTTTGGAATATGCAAGTGGATGTGCGGACCTCTTTGAAGATTTCGTTGGAAACGTGTTCATCTTCACAGAAAAACTAAAGAGAAGCATTCTCAGAAACTGCTTTGTGATGTTTGTGTTCCACTTCAGGAATTGAACTTTCCTCTTGACAGAGCAGCTCTGAAACCCTCTTATTCTAGAATCTGCAAGTGGACATTTGGAGGGCTTTGAGGCCTGTGGTGGAAAAGGAAAATCTTCACATAAAAACTAGATGGAAGCATTCTCAGAAACTACTCTGTGATGATTGCATTCGACTCACAGAGTTGAACATTCCTATAGATAGAGCAGGTTGTAAACAATCTTTTTGTAGAATCTGCGATTGGAGATTTGGACTGCTTTGAGGCCTACTGTAGTAAAGGAAATAACTTCATCTAAAAACCAAACGGAAGCATTCACAGACAATTCTTAGTGATCATTGGATTGAACTAACAGAGCTGAACATTCCTTTAGATGGAGCAGTTTCCAAACACACTTTCTGTAGAATCTGCAAGTGGATATTTGGACTTCTCTGAGGATTTCGTTGGAAACGGGATAAACTTCCCAGAACTACACGGAAGCATTCTGAGAAACTTCTTTGGATGTTTGCATTCAACTCACAGAGTTGAACCTTGCTTTCATAGTTCAGCTTTCAAACACTCTTTTTGTAGAATCTGCAAGTGGATACTTGGACCACTTTGTGGCCTTCCTTCGAAACGGGTATATCTTCACATCAAACCTAGACAGAAGCATTCTCAGAATGTTTCCTGTGATGACTGCATTCAACTCACAGAGGTGAACAATCCTGCTGATGGAGCAGTTTTGAAACTCTCTTTCTTTGGATTCTGCAAGTGGATATGTGGACCTCTGTGAAGATTTCGTTGGAAACGGGTTCATCTTCACAGAAAAACTAAACAGGAGCATTCTCAGAAACTGCTTTGTGATGTTTGTGTTCCACTTCAAGAATTGAACTTTCCTTTTGACAGAGCAGCTCTGAAACCCTCTTTTTCTAGAATCTGCAAGTGGACATTTGGAGGGCTTTGAGGCCTGTGGTGGAAAAGGAAACTCTTCACATAAAAACTAGATGGAAGCATTCTCAGAAACTACTTTGTGATGATTGCATTCGACTCACAGAGTTGAACATTCCTATAGATAGAGCAGGTTGTAAACAATCTTTTTGTAGAATCTGCGATTGGAGATTTGGACTGATTTGAGGCCTACTGTAGTAAAGGAAATAACTTCATCTAAAAACCAAACGGAAGCATTCACAGACAATTCTTAGTGATCATTGCATTGAACTAACAGAGCTGAACATTCCTTTAGATGGCGCAGTTTCCAAACACACTTTCTGTAGAATCTGCAAGTGGATATTTGGACCTCTCTGAGGATTTCGTTGGAAACGGGATAAACTTCCCAGTACTACACGGAAGCATTGTGAGAAACTTCTTTGGATGTTTGCATTCAACTCACAGTGTTGAACCTTGCTTTCATAGTTCAGCTTTCAAACACTCTTTTTGTAGAATCTACAAGTGGATATTTGGACCACTTTGTGGCCTTCCTTCGAAACGGGTATATCTTCACATCAAACCTAGACAGAAGCATTCTCAGAATGTTTCCTGTGATGACTGCATTCAACTCACAGAGGTGAACAATCCTGTTGATGGAGCACTTTTGAAACTCTCTTTCTTTGGATTCTGCATGTTGATATGTGGACCGCTGTGAAGATTTCGTTGGAAACGGGTTCATCTTCACAGAAAAACTAAACAGAAACATTCTCAGAAACTGCTTTGTGATGTTTGTGTTCCACTTCAGGAATTGAACTTTCCTCTTGACAGAGCAGCTCTGAAACCCTCTTATTCTAGAATCTGCAAGTGGACATTTGGAGGGCTTTGAGGCCTGTGGTGGAAAAGGAAAATCTTCACATAAAAACTAGATGGAAGCATTCTCAGAAACTACTTTGTGATGATTGCATTCGACTCACAGAGTTGAACATTCCTATAGATAGAGCAGGTTGTAAACAATGTTTTTGTAGAATCTGCGATTGGAGATTTGGACTGCTTTGAGGCCTACTGTAGTAAAGGAAATAACTTCATCTAAAAACCAAACGGAAGCATTCACAGACAATTCTTAGTGATCATTGGATTGAACTAACAGAGCTGAACATTCCTTTAGATGGCGCAGTTTCCAAACACACTTTCTGTAGAATCTGCAAGTGGATATTTGGACCTCTCTGAGGATTTCGTTGGAAACGGGATAAACTTCCCAGAACTACACGGAAGAATTGTGAGAAACTTCTTTGTGATGTTTGCATTCAACTCACAGTGTTGAAACTTGCTTTCATAGTTCAGCTTTCAAACACTCTTTTTGTAGAATCTGCAAGTGGATATTTGGACCACTTTGTGGCCTTCCTTCGAAACGGGTATATCTTCACATCAAACCTAGACAGAAGCATTCTCAGAATGTTTCCTGTGATGACTGCATTCAACTCACAGAGGTGAACAATCCTGTTGATGGAGCAGTTTTGAAACTCTCTTTCTTTGGATTCTGCAAGTTGATATGTGGACCTCTGTGAAGATTTCGTTGGAAACGGGTTCATCTTCACAGAAAAACTAAACAGAAGCATTCTCAGAAACTGCTTTGTGATGTTTGTGTTCCACTTCAGGAATTGAACTTTCCTCTTGACAGAGCAGCTCTGAAACCCTCTTTTTCTAGAATCTGCAAGTGGACATTTGGAGGGCTTTGAGGCCTGTGGTGGAAAAGGAAACTCTTCACATAAAAACTAGATGGAAGCATTCTCAGAAACTACTTTGTGATGATTGCATTCGACTGACAGAGTTGAACAATTCCTATAGATAGAGCAGGTTGTAAACAATCTTTTTGTAGAATATGCGATTGGAGATTTGGACTGCTTTGAGGCCTACTGTAGTAAAGGAAATAACTTCATCTAAAAACCAAACGGAAGCATTCACAGACAATTCTTAGTGATCATTGCATTGAACTAACAGAGCTGAACATTCCTTTAGATGGAGCAGTTTCCAAACACACTTTCTGTAGAATCTGCAAGTGGATATTTGGACCTCTCTGAGGATTTCGTTGGAAACGGGATAAACTTCCCAGAACTACACGGACATTCGTGAGAAACTTCTTTGTGATGTTTGCATTCAACTCACAGAGTTGAACCTTGCTTTCATAGTTCAGCTTTCAAACACTCTTTTTGTAGAATCTGCAAGTGGATATTTGGACCACTTTGTGGCCTTCCTTCGAAACGGGTATATCTTCACATCAAACCTAGACAGAAGCATTCTCAGAATGTTTCCTGTGATGACTGCATTCAACTCACGGAGGTGAACAATCCTGCTGATGGAGCAGTTTTGAAACTCTCTTTCTTTGGATTCTGCAAGTGGATGTGTGGACCTCTGTGAAGATTTCGTTGGAAACGGGTTCATCTTCACAGAAAAACTAAACAGAAGCATTCTCAGAAACTGCTTTGTGATGTTTGTGTTCGACTTCAGGAATTGAACTTTCCTCTTGACAGAGCAGCTCTGAAACCCTCTTATTCTAGAATCTGCAAGTGGACATTTGGAGGGCTTTGAGGCCTGTGGTGGAAAAGGAAAATCTTCACATAAAAACTAGATGGAAGCATTCTCAGAAACTACTTTGTGATGATTGCATTCGACTCACAGAGTTGAACATTCCTATAGATAGAGCAGGTTGTAAACAATCTTTTTGTAGAATCTGCGATTCGAGATTTGGAATGCTTTGAGGCCTACTGCAGTAAAGGAAATAACTTCATCTAAAAACCAAACGGAAGCATTCACAGACAATTCTTAGTGATCATTGGATTGAACAAACAGAGCTGAACATTCCCTTAGATGGCGCAGTTTCCAAACACACTTTCTGTAGAATCTGCAAGTGGATATTTGGACCTCTCTGAGGATTTCGTTGGTAACGGGATAAACTTCCCAGAACTACACGGAAGCATTGTGAGAATCATCTTTCTGATGTTTGCATTCAACTCACAGAGTTGAACCTTGCTTTCATAGTTCAGCTTTCAAACACTCTTTTTGTAGAATCTGCAAGTGGATATTTGGACCACTTTGTGGCCTTCCTTTGAAACGGGTACATCTTCACATCAAACCTAGACAGAAGCATTCTCAGAATGTTTCCTGTGATGACTGCATTCAACTCACAGAGGTGAAAAATCCTGTTGATGGAGCAGTTTTGAAACTCTCTTTCTTTGGATTCTGCAAGTGGATATGTGGACCTCTGTGAAGATTTCGTTGGAAACGGGTTCATCTTCACAGAAAAACTAAACAGAAGCATTCTCAGAAACTGCTTTGTGATGTTTTTGTTCCACTTCAGGAATTGAACTTTCCTCTTGACAGAGCAGCTCTGAAACCCTCTTATTCTAGAATCTGCAAGTGGACATTTGGAGGGCTTTGAGGCCTGTGATGGAAAAGGAAAATCTTCACATAAAAACTAGATGGAAGCATTCTCAGAAACTACTTTGTGATGATTGCATTCGACTCACAGAGTTGAACATTCCTATAGATAGAGCAGGTTGTAAAAAATCTTTTTGTAGAATCTGCGATTGGAGATTTGGACTGCTTTGAGGCCTACTGTAGTAAAGGAAATAACTTCATCTAAAAACCAAACGGAAGCATTCACAGACAATTCTTAGTGATCATTGGATTGAACTAACAGAGCTGAACATTCCTTTAGATGGCGCAGTGTTCCAAACACACTTTCTGTAGAATCTGCAAGTGGATATTTGGACCTCTGTGAGGATTTCGTTGGAAACGGGATAAACTTCCCAGAACTACACGGAAGCATTCTGAGAAACATCTTTGTGATGTTTGCATTCAACTCACAGAGTTGAATCTTGCTTTCATAGTTCAGCTTTCAAACACTCTTTTTGTAGAATCTGCAAGTGGATATTTGGACCACATTGTGGCCTTCCTTCGAAACGGGTATATCTTCACATCAAACCTACACAGAAGCATTATCAGAATGTTTCCTGTGATGACTGCATTCAACTCACAGAGGTGTACAATCCTGTTGATGGAGCACTTTTGAAACTCTCTTTCTTTGGATTCTGCAAGTTGATATGTGGACCTCTGTGAAGATTTCGTAGGAAACCGGTTCATCTTCACAGAAAAACTAAACAGAAGCATTCTCAGAAGCTACTTTGTGATGTTTGTGTTCCACTTCAAGAATTGAACTTTCCTCTTGACAGAGCAGCTCTGAAACCCTCTTTTTCTAGAATCTGCAAGTGGACATTTGGAGGGCTTTTAGGCCTGTGGTGGAAAAGGAAAATCTTCACATAAAAACTAGATGGAAGCATTCTCAGAAACTACTTTGTGATGATTGCATTCGACTCACAGAGTTGAACATTCCTATAGATAGAGCAGGTTGTAAACAATCTTTTTGTAGAATCTGCGATTGGAGATTTGGACTGCTTTGAGGCCTACTGTAGTAAAGGAAATAACTTCATCTAAAAACCAAACGGAAGCATTCACAGATAATTCTTAGTGATATTGGATTGAACTAACAGAGCTGAACATTCCTTTAGATGGATCAGTTTCCAAACACACTTTCTGTAGAATCTGCAAGTGGATATTTTGACCTCTCTGGGGATTTCGTTGGAAACGGGATAAACTTCCCAGAACTACACGGAAGCATTCTGAGAAAATTCTTTGTGATGTTTGCATTCAACTCACAGAGTTGAACCTTGCTTTCATAGTTCAGCTTTCAAACACTCTTTTTGTAGAATCTGCAAGTGGATATTTGGACCACTTTGTGGCCTTCCTTCGAAACGGGTATATCTTCACATCAAACCTAGACAGAAGCATTCTCAGAATGTTTCCTGTGATGACTGCATTCAACTCACAGAGGTGAACAATCCTGCTGATGGAGCAGTTTTGAAACTCTCTTTCTTTGGATTCTGCAAGTGGATATGTGGACCTCTGTGAAGATTTCGTTGGAAACGGGTTCATCTTCACAGAAAAACTAAACAGAAGCATTCTCAGAAACTGCTTTGTGATGTTTGTGTTCCACTTCAAGAATTGAACTTTCCTCTTGACAGAGCAGCTCTGAATCCCTCTTTTTCTAGAATCTGCAAGTGGACATTTGGAGGGCTTTGAGGCCTGTGGTGGAAAAGGAAAATCTTCACATAAAAACTAGATGGAAGCATTCTCAGAAACTACTTTGTGATGATTGCATTCGACTCACAGAGTTGAACATTCCTATAGATAGAGCAGGTTGTAAACAATCTTTTTGTAGAATCTTCGATTGGAGATTTGGACTGCTTTGAGGCCTACTGTAGTAAAGGAAATAACTTCATCTAAAAACCAAACGGAAGCATTCACAGACAATTCTTAGTGATCATTGCATTGAACTAACAGAGCTGAACATTCCTTTAGATGGCGCAGTTTCCAAACACACTTTCTGTAGAATCTGCAAGTGGATATTTGGACCTCTCTGAGGATTTCGTTGGAAACGGGATAAACTTCCCAGAACTACACGGAAGCATTGTGAGAAACTTCTTTGTGATGTTTGCATTCAACTCACAGAGTTGAACCTTGCTTTCATAGTTCAGCTTTCAAACACTCTTTTTGTAGAATCTGCAAGTGGATATTTGGACCACTTTGTGGCCTTCCTTCGAAACGGGTATATCTTCACATCAAACCTAGACAGAAGCATTCTCAGAATGTTTCCTGTGATGACTGCATTCAACTCACAGAGGTGAACAATCCTGCTGATGGAGCAGTTTTGAAACTCTCTTTCTTTGGATTCTGCAAGTGGATATGTGGACCTCTGTGAAGATTTCGTTGGAAACGGGTTCATCTTCACAGAAAAACTAAACAGGAGCATTCTCAGAAACTGCTTTGTGATGTTTGTGTTCCACTTCAGGAATTGAACTTTCCTCTTGACAGAGCAGCTCTGAAACCCTCTTTTTCTAGAATCTGCAAGTGGACCTTTGGAGGGCTTTGAGGCCTGTGGTGGAAAAGGAAAATCTTCACATAAAAACTAGATGGAAGCATTCTCAGAAACTACTTTGTGATGATTGCATTCGACTCACAGAGTTGAACATTCCTATAGATAGAGCAGGTTGTAAACAATGTTTTTCTAGAATCTGCGATTGGAGATTTGGACTCCTTTGAGGCCTACTGTAGTAAAGGAAATAACTTCATCTAAAAACCAAACGGAAGCATTCACAGACAATTCTTAGTGATCATTGGATTGAACTAACAGAGCTGAACATTCCTTTAGATGGAGCATTTTCCAAACACACTTTCTGTAGAATCTGCAAGTGGATATTTGGACTTCTCTGAGGATTTCGTTGGAAACGGGATAAACTTCCCAGAACTACACGGAAGCATTCTGAGAAACTTCTTTGTGATGTTTGCATTCAACTCACAGAGTTGAACCTTTCTTTCATAGTTCAGCTTTCAAACACTCTTTTTGTAGAATCTGCAAGTGGATATGTGGACCACTTTGTGGCCTTCCTTCGAAACGGGTATATCTTCACATCAAACCTAGACAGAAGCATTCCCAGAATGTTTCCTGTGATGACTGCATTCAACTCACAGAGGTGAACAATCCTGCTGATGGAGCAGTTTTGAAACTCTCCTTCTTTGGATTCTGCAAGTGGATATGTGGACCTCTGTGAAGATTTCGTTGGAAACGGGTTCATCTTCACAGAAAAACTAAACAGAAGCATTCTCAGAAACTGCTTTGTGATGTTTGTGTTCCACTTCAAGAATTGAACTTTCCTCTTGACAGAGCAGCTCTGAAACCCTCTTTTTCTAGAATCTGCAAGTGGACATTTGGAGGGCTTTGAGGCCTGTGGTGGAAAAGGAAAATCTTCACATAAAAACTAGATGGAAGCATTCTCAGAAACTACTTTGTGATGATTGCATTCGACTCACAGTGTTGAACATTCCTATAGATAGAGCAGGTTGTAAACAATCTTTTTGTAGAATCTGCGATTGGAGATTTGGACTGCTTTGAGGCCTACTGTAGTAAAGGAAATAACTTCATCTAAAAACCAAACGGAAGCATTCACAGACAATTCTTAGTGATCATTGGATTGAACTAACAGAGCTGAACATTCCTTTAGATGGAGCAGTTTCCAAACACACTTTCTGTAGAATCTGCAAGTGGATATTTGGACCTCTCTGAGGATTTCGTTGGAAACGGGATAAACTTCCCAGAACTACACGGAAGCATTCTGAGAAACTTCTTTGTGATGTTTGCATTCAACTCACAGAGTTGAACCTTGCTTTCATAGTTCAGCTTTCAAACACTCTTTTTGTAGAATCTGCAAGTGGATATTTGGACCACTTTGTGGCCTTCCTTCGAAACGGGTATATCTTCACATCAACCCTAGACAGAAGCATTCTCAGAATGTTTCCTGTGATGACTGCATTAAACTCACAGAGGTGAACAATCCTGTTGATGGAGCAGTTTTGAAACTCCCTTTCTTTGGATTCTGCAAGTGGATATGTGGAACTCTTTGAAGATTTCGTTGGAAACGGGTTCATCTTCACAGAAAAACTAAACAGGAGCATTCTCAGAAACTGCTTTGTGATGTTTGTGTTCCACTTCAAGAATTGAACTTTCCTCTTGACAGAGCAGCTCTGAAACCCTCTTTTTCTAGAATCTGCAAGTGGACATTTGGAGGGCTTTGAGGCCTTTGGTGGAAAAGGAAAATCTTCACATAAAAACTAGATGGAAGCATTCTCAGAAACTACTTTGTGATGATTGCATTCGACTCACAGAGTTGAACATTCCTATAGATAGAGCAGGTTGTAAACAATCTTTTTGTAGAATCTGCGATTGGAGATTTGGACTGCTTTGAGGCCTACTGTAGTAAAGGAAATAACTTCATCTAAAAACCAAACGGAAGCATTCACAGACAATTCTTAGTGATCATTGGATTGAACTAACAGAGCTGAACATTCCTTTAGATGGAGCAGTTTCCAAACACACTTTCTGCAGAATCTGCAAGTGGATATTTGGACTTCTCTGAGGATTTCGTTGGAAACGGGATAAACTTCCCAGAACTACAGGGAAGCATTCTGAGAATCTTCTTTGTGATGTTTGCATTCAACTCACAGAGTTGAACCTTGCTTTCATAGTTCAGCTTTCAAACACTCTTTTTGTGGAATCTGCAAGTGGATATTTGGAACACTTTGTGGCCTTCCTTCGAAACGGGTATATCTTCACATCAAACCTAGACAGAAGCATTCTCAGAATGTTTCTTGTGATGACTGCATTCAACTCACAGAGGTGAACAATCCTGCTGATGGAGCAGTTTTGAAACTCTCTTTCTTTGGATTCTGCAAGTGGATATGTGGACCTCTGTGAAGATTTCGTTGGAAACGTGTTCATCTTCACAGAAAAACTAAACAGAAGCATTCTCAGAAACTGCTTTGTGATGTTTGTGTTCCACTTCAAGAATTGAACTTTCCTCTTGACAGAGCAGCTCTGAAACCCTCTTTTTCTAGAATCTGCAAGTGGACATTGGGAGGGCTTTGAGGCCTGTGGTGGAAAAGGAAAATCTTCACATAAAAACTAGATGGAAGCATTCTCAGAAACTACTTTGTGATGATTGCATTCGACTCACAGAGTTGAACATTCCTATAGATAGAGCAGGGTGTAAACAATGTTTTTGTAGAATCTGCGATTGGAGATTTGGACTGCTTTGAGGCCTACTGTAGTAAAGGAAATAACTTCATCTAAAAACCAAACGGAAGCATTCACAGACAATTCTTAGTGATCATTGGAATGAACTAACAGAGCTGAACATTCCTTTAGATGGAGCAGTTTCCAAACACACTTTCTGTAGAATCTGCAAGTGGATATTTGGACCTCTCTGAGGATTTCGTTGGAAACGGGATAAATTTCCCAGAACTACACGGAAGCATTCTGAGAAACTTCTTTGTGATGTTTGCATTCAACTCACAGAAGTTGAACCTTGCTTTCATAGTTCAGCTTTCAAACACTCTTTTTGTGGAATCTGCAAGTGGATATTTGGACCACTTTGTGGCCTTCCTTCGAAACGGGTAAATCTTCACATCAAACCTAGACAGAAGCATTCTCAGAATGTTTCCTGTGATGACTGCATTCAACTCACAGAGGTGAACAATCCTGCTGATGGAGCAGTTTTGAAACTCTCTTTCTTTGGATTCTGCAAGTGGATATGTGGACCTCTGTGAAGATTTCGTTGGAAACGGGTTCATCTTCACAGAAAAACTAAACAGGAGCATTCTCAGAAACTGCTTTGTGATGTTTGTGTTCCACTTCAGGAATTGAACTTTCCTCTTGACAGAGCAGCTCTGAAACCCTCTTTTTCTAGAATCTGCAAGTGGACATTTGGAGGGCTTTGAGGCCTTTGGTGGAAAAGGAAACTCTTCACATAAAAAGTAGATGGAAGCATTCTCAGAAACTCCTTTGTGATGATTGCATTCGACTCACAGAGTTGAACATTCCTATAGATAGAGCAGGTTGTAAACAATCTTTTTGTAGAATCTGCGATTGGAGATTTGGACTGCTTTGAGGCCTACTGTAGTAAAGGAAATAACTTCATCTAAAAACCAAACGGAAGCATTCACAGACAATTCTTAGTGATCATTGGATTGAACTAACAGAGCTGAACATTCCTTTAGATGGAGCAGTTTCCAAACACACTTTCTGTAGAATCTGCAAGTGGATATTTGGACCTCTCTGAGGATTTCGTTGGAAACGGGATAAACTTCCCAGAACTACACGGAAGCATTGTGAGAAACTTCTTTGTGATGTTTGCATTCAACTCACAGAGTTGAACCTTGCTTTCATAGTTCAGCTTTCAAACACTCTTTTTGTAGAATCTGCAAGTGGATATTTGGACCACTTTGTGGCCTTCCTTCGAAACGGGTATATCTTCACATCAAACCTAGACAGAAGCATTCTCAGAATGTTTCCTGTGATGACTGCATTCAACTCACAGAGGTGAACAATCCTGCTGATGGAGCAGTTTTGAAACTCTCTTTCTTTGGATTCTGCAAGTGGATATGTGGACCTTCTGTGAAGATTTCGTTGGAAACGGGTTCATCTTCACAGAAAAACTAAACAGAAGCATTCTCAGAAACTGCTTTGTGATGTTTGTGTTCCACTTCAAGAATTGAACTTTCCTCTTGACAGAGCAGATCTGAAACCCTCTTTTTCTAGAATCTGCAAGTGGACATTTGGAGGGCTTTGAGGCCTGTGGTGGAAAAGGAAAATCTTCACATAAAAACTAGATGGAAGCATTCTCAGAAACTACTTTGTGATGATTGCATTCGACTCACAGAGTTGAACATTCCTATAGATAGAGCAGGTTGTAAACAATCTTTTTCTAGAATCTGCGATTGGAGATTTGGACTGCTTTGAGGCCTACTGTAGTAAAGGAAATAACTTCATCTAAAAACCAAACGGAAGCATTCACAGACAATTCTTAGTGATCATTGGATTGAACTAACAGAGCTGAACATTCCTTTAGATGGAGCAGTTTCCAAACACACTTTCTGTAGAATCTGCAAGTGGATATTTGGACTTCTCTGAGGATTTCGTTGGAAACGGGATAAACTTCCCAGAACTACACGGAAGCATTCTGAGAAACTTCTTTGTGATGTTTGCATTCAACTCACAGAGTTGAACCTTGCTTTCATAGTTCAGCTTTCAAACACTCTTTTTGTAGAATCTGCAAGTGGATATTTGGACCACTTTGTGGCCTTCCTTCGAAACGGGTATATCTTCACATCAAACCTAGACAGAAGCATTCTCAGAATGTTTCCTGTGATGACTGCATTCAACTCACAGAGGTGAACAATCCTGTTGATGGAGCAGTTTTGAAACTCTCTTTCTTTGGATTCTGCAAGTGGATATGTGGACCTCTGTGAAGATTTCGCTGGAAAAGGGTTCATCTTCACAGAAAAACTAAACAGGAGCATTCTCAGAAACTGCTTTGTGATGTTTGTGTTCCACTTCAAGAATTGAACTTTCCTCTTGACAGAGCAGCTCTGAAACCCTCTTTTTCTAGAATCTGCAAGTGGACATTTGGAGGGCTTTGAGGCCTGTGGTGGAAAAGGAAATCTTCACATAAAAACTAGATGGAAGCATTCTCAGAAACTACTTTGTGATGATGGCTTTCGACTCACAGAGTTGAACATTCCTATAGATAGAGCAGGTTGTAAACAATCTTTTTGTAGAATCTGCGATTGGAGATTTGGACTGCTTTGAGGCCTACTGTAGTAAAGGAAATAACTTCATCTAAAAACCAAACGGAAGGATTCACAGACAATTCTTAGTGATCATTGCATTGAACTAACAGAGCTGAACATTCCTTTAGATGGCGCAGTTTCCAAACACACTTTCTGTAGAATCTGCAAGTGGATATTTGGACCTCTCTGAGGATTTCGTTGGAAACGGGATAAACTTCCCAGAACTACACGGAAGCATTGTGAGAAACTTCTTTGTGATGTTTGCATTCAACTCACAGAGTTGAACCTTGCTTTCATAGTTCAGCTTTCAAACACTCTTTTTGTAGAATCTGCAAGTGGATATTTGGACCACTTTGTGGCCTTCCTTCGAAACGGGTATATCTTCACATCAAACCTAGACAGAAGCATTCTCAGAATGTTTCCTGGGATGACTGCATTCAACTCACAGAGGTGAACAATCCTGCTGATGGAGCAGTTTTGAAACTCTCTTTCTTTGGATTCTGCAAGTGGATATGTGGACCTCTGTGAAGATTTCGTTGGAAACGTGTTCATCTTCACAGAAAAACTAAACAGGAGCATTCTCAGAAACTGCTTTGTGATGTTTGTGTTCCACTTCAAGAATTGAAATTTCCTCTTGACCGAGCAGCTCTGAAACCCTCTTATTCTAGAATCTGCAAGTGGACATTTGGAGGGCTTTGAGGCCTGTGGTGGAAAAGGAAAATCTTCACATAAAAACTAGATGGAAGCATTCTCAGAAACTACTTTGTGATGATTGCATTCGACTCACAGAGTTAAACATTCCTATAGATAGAGCAGGTTGTAAACAATCTTTTTGTAGAATCTGCGATTGGAGATTTGGACTGCTTTGAGGCCTACTGTAGTAAAGGAAATAACTTCATCTAAAAACCAAACGGAAGCATTCACAGACAATTCTTAGTGATCATTGGATTGAACTAACAGAGCTGAACATTCCTTTAGATGGAGCAGTTTCCAAACACACTTTCTGTAGAATCTGCAAGTGGATATTTGGACTTCTCTGAGGATTTCGTTGGAAACGGGATAAACTTCCCAGAACTACACGGAAGCATTGTGAGAAACTTCTTTGTGATGTTTGCATTCAACTCACAGAGTTGAAGCTTGCTTTCATAGTTCAGCTTTCAAACACTCTTTTTGTAGAATCTGCAAGTGGATATTTGGACCACTTTGTGGCCTTCCTTCGAAACGGGTATATCTTCACATCAAACCTAGACAGAAGCATTCTCAGAATGTTTCCTGTGATGACTGCATTCAACTCACAGAGGTGAACAATCCTGCTGATGGAGCAGTTTTGAAACTCTCTTTCTTTGGATTCTGCAAGTGGATATGTGGACCTCTGTGAAGATTTCGTTGGAAACGGGTTCATCTTCACAGAAAAACTAAACAGAAGCATTCTCAGAAACTGCTTTGTGATGTTTGTGTTCCACTTCAAGAATTGAACTTTCCTCTTGACAGAGCAGCTCTGAAAACCTCTTTTTCTAGAATCTGCAAGTGGACATTTGGAGGGCTTTGAGGCCTGTGGTGGAAAAGGAAAATCTTCACATAAAAACTAGATGGAAGCATTCTCAGAAACTACTCTGTGAGGATTGCATTCGACTCACAGAGTTGAACATTCCTATAGATAGAGCAGGTTGTAAACAATCTTTTTGTAGAATCTGCGATTGGAGATTTGGACTGCTTTGAGGCCTACTGTAGTAAAGGAAATAACTTCATCTAAAAACCAAACGGAAGCATTCACAGACAATTCTTAGTGATCATTGCATTGAACTAACAGAGCTGAACATTCCTTTAGATGGAGCAGTTTCCAAACACACTTTCTGTAGAATCTGCAAGTGGATATTTGGACCTCTCTGAGATTTTCGTTGGAAACGGGTAAACTTCCCAGAACTACACGGAAGCATTCTGAGAAACTTCTTTGTGATGTTTGCATTCAACTCACAGAGTTGAACCTTGCTTTCATAGTTCAGCTTTCAAACACTCTTTTTGTAGAATCTGCAAGTGGATATTTGGACCACTTTGTGGCCTTCCTTCGAAACGGGTATATCCTCACATCAAACCTAGACAGAAGCATTCTCAGAATGTTTCCTGTGATGACTGCATTCAACTCACAGAGGTGAACAATCCTGCTGATGGAGCAGTTTTGAAACTCTCTTTCTTTGGATTCTGCAAGTGGATATGTGGACCTCTGTGAAGATTTCGTTGGAAACGGGTTCATCTTCACAGAAAAACTAAACAGGAGCATTCTCAGAACCTGCTTTGTGATGTTTGTGTTCCACTTCAGGAATTGAACTTTCCTCTTGACAGAGCAGCTCTGAAACCCTCTTATTCTAGAATCTGCAAGTGGACATTTGGAGGGCTTTGAGGCCTGTGGTGGAAAAGGAAAATCTTCACATAAAAACTAGATGGAAGCATTCTCAGGAAACTACTTTGTGATGATTGCATTCGACTCACAGAGTTGAACATTCCTATAGATAGAGCAGGTTGTAAACAATCTTTTTGTAGAATCTGCGATTGGAGATTTGGACTGCTTTGAGGCCTACTGTAGTAAAGGAAATAACTTCATCTAAAAACCAAACGGAAGCATTCACAGACAATTCTTAGTGATCATTGGATTGAACTAACAGAGCTGAACATTACTTTAGATGGAGCAGTTTCCAAACACACTTTCTGTAGAATCTGCAAGTGGATATTTGGACTTCTCTGAGGATTTCGTTGGAAACGGGATAAACTTCCCAGAACTACAGGGAAGCATTGTGAGAAACTTCTTTGTGATGTTTGCATTCAACTCACAGAGTTGAACCTTGCTTTCATAGTTCAGCTTTCAAACACTCTTTTTGTAGAATCTGCAAGTGGATATTTGGACCACTTTGTGGCCTTCCTTCGAAACGGGTATATCTTCACATCAAACCTAGACAGAAGCATTCTCAGAATGTTTCCTGTGATGACTGCATTCAACTCACAGAGGTGAACAATCCTGTTGATGGAGCACTTTTGAAACTCTCTTTCTTTGGATTCTGCAAGTTGATATGTGGACCTCTGTGAAGATTTCGTTGGAAACGGGTTCATCTTCACAGAAAAACTAAACAGAAGCATTCTCAGAAACTGCTTTGTGATGTTTGTGTTCCACTTCAGGAATTGAACTTTCCTCTTGAAAGAGCAGCTCTGAAACCCTCTTTTTCTAGAATCTGCAAGTGGACATTTGGAGGGCTTTGAGGCCTGTGGTGGAAAAGGAAAATCTTCACATAAAAACTAGATGGAAGCATTCTCAGAAACTACTTTTTGATGATTGCATTCGACTCACAGAGTTGAACATTCCTATAGATAGAGCAGGTTGTAAACAATCTTTTTGTAGAATCTGCGATTGGAGATTTGGACTGCTTTGAGGCCTACTGTAGTAAAGGAAATAACTTCATCTAAAAACCAAACGGAAGCATTCACAGACAATTCTTAGTTATCATTGGATTGAACTAACAGAGCTGAACATTCCTTTAGATGGCGCAGTTTCCAAACACACTTTCTGTAGAATCTGCAAGTGGATATTTGGACCTCTCTGAGGATTTCGTTGGAAACGGGATAAATTTCCCAGAACTACACGGAAGCATTCTGAGAAACTTCTTTGTGATGTTTGCATTCAACTCACAGAGTTGAACCTTGCTTTCATAGTTCAGCTTTCAAACACTCTTTTTGTAGAATCTGCAAGTGGATATTTGGACCACTTTGTGGCCTTCCTTCGAAACGGGTATATCTTCACATCAAACCTAGACAGAAGCATTCTCAGAATGTTTCCTGTGATGACTGCATTCAACTCACAGAGGTGAACAATCCTGGTGATGGAGCAGTTTTGAAACTCTCTTTCTTTGGATTCTGCAAGTGGATATGTGGACCTCTGTGAAGATTTCGTTGGAAACGGGTTCATCTTCACAGAAAAACTAAACAGAAGCATTCTCAGAAACTGCTTTGTGATGTTTGTGTTCCACTTCAAGAATTGAGCTTTCCTCTTGACAGAGCAGCTCTGAAACCCTCTTTTTCTAGAATCTGCAAGTGGACCTTTGGAGGGCTTTGAGGCCTGTGGTGGAAAATGGAAAATCTTCACATAAAAACTAGATGGAAGCATTCTCAGAAACTCCTTTGTGATGATTGCATTCGACTCACAGAGTTGAACATTCCTATAGATAGAGCAGGTTGTAAACAATCTTTTTGTAGAATCTGCGATTGGAGATTTGGAATGCTTTGAGGCCTACTGTAGTAAAGGAAATAACTTCATCTAAAAACCAAACGGAAGCATTCACAGACAATTCTTAGTGATCATTGGTTTGAACTAACAGAGCTGAACATTCCTTTAGATGGAGCAGTTTCCAAACCCACTTTCTGTAGAATCTGCAAGTGGATATTTGGACTTCTCTGAGGATTTCGTTGGAAACTGGATAAACTTCCCAGAACTACACGGAAGCATTGTGAGAAACTTCTTTGTGATGTTTGCATTCAACTCACAGAGTTGAACCTTGCTTTCATAGTTCAGCTTTCAAACACTCTTTTTGTAGAATCTGCAAGTGGATATTTGGACCACTTTGTGGCCTTCCTTCGAAACGGGTATATCTTCACATCAAACCTAGACAGAAGCATTCTCAGAATGTTTCCTGTGATGACTGCATTCAACTCACAGAGGTGAACAATCCTGCTGATGGAGCAGTTTTGAAACTCTCTTTCTTTGGATTCTGCAAGTGGATATGTGGACCTCTGTGAAGATTTCGTTGGAAACGGGTTCATCTTCACAGAAAAACTAAACAGAAGCATTCTCAGAAACTGCTTTGTGATGTTTGTGTTCCACTTCAGGAATTGAACTTTCCTCTTGATAGAGCAGCTCTGAAACCCTCTTTTTCTAGAATCTGAAAGTGGACATTTGGAGGGTTTTGGGTCCTGTGGTGGAAAAGGAAAATCTTCACATAAAAACTAGATGGAAGCATTCTCAGAAACTACTTTGTGATGATTGCATTCGACTCACAGAGTTGAACATTCCTATAGATAGAGCAGGTTGTAAACAATCTTTTTGTAGAATCTGCGATTGGAGATTTGGACTGCTTTGAGGCCTTCTGTAGTAAAGGAAATAACTTCATCTAAAAACCAAACGGAAGCATTCACAGACAATTCTTAGTGATCATTGGATTGAACTAACAGAGCTGAACATTCCTTTAGATGGAGCAGTTTCCAAACCCACTTTCTGTAGAATCTGCAAGTGGATATTTGGACTTCTCTGAGGATTTCGTTGGAAACGGGATAAACTTCCCAGAACTACACGGAAGCATTCTGAGAAACTTCTTTGTGATGTTTGCATTCAACTCACAGAGTTGAACCTTGCTTTCATAGTTCAGCTTTCAAACACTCTTTTTGTAGAATCTGCAAGTGGATATTTGGACCACTTTCTGGCCTTCCTTCGAAACGGGTATATCTTCACATCAAACCTAGACAGAAGCATTCTCAGCAATGTTTCCTGTGATGACTGCATTCAACTCACAGAGGTGAACAATCCTGCTGATGGAGCAGTTTTGAAACTCTCTTTCTTTGGATTCTGCAAGTGGATATGTGGACCTCTGTGAAGATTTCGTTGGAAACGGGTTCATCTTCACAGAAAAACTAAACAGGAGCATTCTCAGACACTGCTTTGTGATGTTTGTGTTCCACTTAAAGAATTGAACTTTCCTCTTGACAGAGCAGCTCTGAAACCCTCTTTTTCTAGAATCTGCAAGTGGACATTTGGAGGGCTTTGAGGCCTGTGGTGGAAAAGGAAAATCTTCACATAAAAACTTTATGGAAGCATTCTCAGAAACTACTTTGTGATGATTGCATTCGACTCACAGAGTTGAACATTCCTATACATAGAGCAGGTTGTAAACAATCTTTTTGTAGAATCTGCGATTGGAGATTTGGACTGCTTTGAGGCCTACTGTAGTAAAGGTAATAACTTCATCTAAAAACCAAACGGAAGCATTCACAGACAATTCTTAGAGATCAGTGGATTGAACTAACAGAGCTGAACATTCCTTTAGATGGAGCAGTTTCCAAACCCACTTTCTGTAGAATCTGCAAGTGGATATTTGGACTTCTCTGAGGATTTCGTTGGAAACGGGATAAACTTCCCAGAACTACACGGAAGCATTGTGAGAAACTTCTTTGTGATGTTTGCATTCAACTCACAGAGTTGAACCTTGCTTTCATAGTTCAGCTTTCAAACACTCTTTTTGTAGAATCTGCAAGTGGATATTTGGACCACTTTGTGGCCTTCCTTCGAAACGGGTATATCTTCACATCAAACCTAGACAGAAGCATTCTCAGAATGTTTCCTGTGATGACTGCATTCAACTCACAGAGGTGAACAATCCTGTTGATGGAGCAGTTTTGAAACTCTCTTTCTTTGGATTCTGCAAGTGGATATGTGCACCTCTGTGAAGATTTCGTTGGAAACGGGTTCATCTTCACAGAAAAAATAAACAGAAGCATTCTCAGAAACTGCTTTGTGATGTTTGTGTTCCACTTCAGGAATTGAACTTTCCTCTTGACAGAGCAGCTCTGAAACCCTCTTATTCTAGAATCTGCAAGTGGACATTTGAAGGGCTTTGAGGCCTGTGGTGGAAAAGGAAAATCTTCACATAAAAACTAGATGGAAGCATTCTCAGAAACTACTTTGTGATGATTGCATTCGACTCACAGAGTTGAACATTCCTATAGATAGAGCAGGTTGTAAACAATCTTTTTGTAGAATCTGCGATTGGAGATTTGGACTGCTTTGAGGCCTACTGTAGTAAAGGAAATAACTTCATCTAAAAACCAAACGGAAGCATTCACAGACAATTCTTAGTGATCATTGCATTGAACTAACAGAGCTGAACATTCCTTTAGATGGCGCAGTTTCCAAACACACTTTCTGTCGCATCTGCAAGTGGATATTTGGACCTCTCTGAGGATTTCGTTGGAAACGGGATAAAATTCCCAGAACTACACGGAAGCATTGTGAGAAACTTCTTTGTGATGTTTGCATTCAACTCACAGAGTAGAACCTTGCTTTCATAGTTCAGCTTTCAAACACTCTTTTTGTAGAATCTGCAAGTGGATATTTGGACCACTTTGTGGCCTTCCTTCGAAACGGGTATATCTTCACATCAAACCTAGACAGAAGCATTCTCAGAATGTTTCTTGTGATGACTGCATTCAACTCACAGAGGTGAACAATCCTGCTGATGGAGCAGTTTTGAAACTCTCTTTCTTTGGATTCTGCAAGTGGATATGTGGACCTCTGTGAAGATTTCGTTGGAAACGGGTTCATCTTCACAGAAAAACTAAACAGAAGCATTCTCAGAAACTGCTTTGTGATGTTTGTGTTCCACTTCAAGAATTGAACTTTCCTCTTGACAGAGCAGCTCTGAAACCCTCTTTTTCTAGAGTCTGCAAGGGGACATTTGGAGGGCTTTGAGGCCTGTGGTGGAAAAGGAAAATCTTCACATAAAAACTAGATGGAAGCATTCTCAGAAACTACTTTGTGATGATTGCATTCGACTCACAGAGTTGAACATTCCAATAGATAGAGCAGGTTGTAAACAATCTTTTTGTAGAATCTGCGATTGGAGATTTGGACTGCTTTGAGGCCTACTGTAGTAAAGGAAATAACTTCATCTAAAAACCAAACGGAAGCATTCACAGACAATTCTTAGTGATCATTGGATTGAACTAACAGAGCTGAACATTCCTTTAGATGGAGCAGTTTCCAAACACACTTTCTGTAGAATCTGCAAGTGGATATTTGGACGTCTCTGAGGATTTCGTTGGAAACGGGATAAACTTCCCAGAACTACACGGAAGTATTCTGAGAAACTTCTTTGGGATGTTTGCATTCAACTCACAGAATTGAACCTTGCTTTCATAGTTCAGCTTTCAAACACTCTTTTTGTAGAATCTGCAAGTGGATATTTGGACCACTTTGTGGCCTTCCTTCGAAACGGGTATATCTTCACATCAAACCTAGACAGAAGCATTCTCGGAATGTTTCCTGTGATGACTGCAATCAACTCACAGAGGTGAACAATCCTGCTGATGGAGCAGTTTTGAAACTCTCATTCTTTGGATTCTGCAAGTGGATATGTGGATCTCTGTGAAGATTTCGTTGGAAACGGGTTCATCTTCACAGAAAAACTAAACAGAAGCATTCTCAGAAACTGCTTTGTGATGTTTGTGTTCCACTTCAGGAATTGAACTTTCCTCTTGAGAGAGCAGCTCTGAAACCCTCTTTTTCTAGAATCTGCATGTGGACATTTGGAGGGCTTTGAAGCCTGTGGTGGAAAAGGAAACTCTTCACATAAAAACTAGATGGAAGCATTCTCAGAAACTACTTTGTGATGATTGCATTCGACTCACAGAGTTGAACATTCCTATAGATAGAGCAGGTTGTAAACAATGTTTTTGTAGAATCTGCGATTGGAGATTTGGACTGCTTTGAGGCCTACTGTAGTAAAGGAAATAACTTCATCTAAAAACCAAACGGAAGGATTCACAGACAATTCTTAGTGATCATTGCATTGAACTAACAGAGCTGAACATTCCTTTAGATGGCGCAGTTTCCAAACACACTTTCTGTAGAATCTGCAAGTGGATATTTGGACCTCTCTGAGGATTTCGTTGGAAACGGGATAAACTTCCCAGAACTACACGGAAGCATTGTGAGAAACTTCTTTGTGATGTTTGCATTCAACTCACAGAGTTGAACCTTGCTTTCATAGTTCAGCTTTCAAACACTCTTTTTGTAGAATCTGCAAGTGGATATTTGGACCACTTTGTGGCCTTCCTTCGAAACGGGTATATCTTCACATCAAACCTAGACAGAAGCATTCTCAGAATGTTTCCTGTGATGACTGCATTCAACTCACAGAGGTGAACAATCCTGCTGATGGAGCAGTTTTGAAACTCTCTTTCTTTGTATTCTGCAAGTGGATATGTGGACCTCTGTGAAGATTTCGTTGGAAACGGGTTCATCTTCACAGAAAAACTAAACAGGAGCATTCTCAGAAACTGCTTTGTGATGTTTGTGTTCCACTTCAGGAATTGAACTTTCCTCTTGACAGAGCAGCTCTGAAACCCTCTTATTCTAGAATCTGCAAGTGGACATTTGGAGGGCTTTGAGGCCTGTGGTGGAAAAGGAAAATCTTCACATAAAAACTAGATGGAAGCATTCTCAGAAACTACTTTGTGATGATTGCATTCGACTCACAGAGTTGAACATTCCTATAGATAGAGCAGGTTGTAAACAATCTTTTTGTAGAATCTGCGATTGGAGATTTGCACTGCTTTGAGGCCTACTGTAGTAAAGGAAATAACTTCATCTAAAAAGCAAACGGAAGCATTCACAGACAATTCTTAGTGATCATTGGATTGAACTAACAGAGCTGAACATTCCTTTAGATGGAGCAGTTTCCAAACACACTTTCTGTAGAATCTGCAAGTGGATATTTGGACTTGCTCTGAGGATTTCGTTGGAAACGGGATAAACTTCCCAGAACTACACGGAAGCATTCTGAGAAACTTCTTTGTGATGTTTGCATTCACCTCACAGAGTTGGACCTTGATTTCATAGTTCAGCTTTCAAACACTCTTTTTGTAGAATCTGCAAGTGGATATTTGGACCACTTTGTGGCCTTCCTTCGAAACGGGTATATCTTCACATCAAACCTAGACAGAAGCATTCTCAGAATGTTTCCTGTGATGACTGCATTCAACTCACAGAGGTGAACAATCCTGCTGATGGAGCAGTTTTGAAACTCTCTTTCTTTGGATTCTGCAAGTGGATATGTGGACCTCTGTGAAGATTTCGTTGGAAACGGGTTCATCTTCACAGAAAAACTAAACAGAAGCATTCCCAGAAACTGCTTTGTGATGTTTCTGTTCCACTTCAAGAATTGAACTTTCCTCTTGACAGAGCAGCTCTGAAACCCTCTTTTTCTAGAATCTGCAAGTGGACATTTGGAGGGCTTTGAGGCCTGTGGTGGAAAAGGAAAATCTTCACATAAAAACTAGATGGAAGCATTCTCAGAAACTACTTTGTGATGATTGCATTCGACTCACAGAGTTGAACATTCCTATAGATAGAGCAGGTTGTAAACAATCTTTTTGTAGAATCTGCGATTGGAGATTTGGACTGCTTTGAGGCCTACTGTAGTAAAGGAAATAACTTCATCTAAAAACCAAACGGAAGCATTCACTTAAAATTCTTAGTGATCATTGGATTGAACTAACAGAGCTGAACATTCCTTTAGATGGAGCAGTTTCCAAACCCACTTTCTGTAGAATATGCAAGTGGATATTTGGACCTCTCTGAGGATTTCGTTGGAAACGGGATATGCTTCCCAGAACTACACGGAAGTACTGAATCCTCACAATACCCCTATGGCTCAGATACTACTATTATCACCATTAGACAAGGTGGAAACTAAGGCTCAGGGGGGTTAAGTAACTTGCTGAAGGAATCCACAGTGTGAAGCTCAGTGGTGAAGATTGCATCCACCTCACAGAGGGCTACCTATGTTTCATAGGTTAGCTTTCAAACACTCTTTTTGTTGAATGTGCAAGTGGATATTTGGACCACTTTGTGGCCTTCCTTCGAAACGGGTATATCTTCACATCAAACCTAGACAGAAG